>NC_000005.10:83140110-83443140 GCF_000001405.40 Homo sapiens | reverse complement strand
AAATAGTCTACAATTCATTTTGTGTTGCATTTGGGTATTGAATCTTTATTATGAAGTAAGTTGAACTTAAGCAAATGCAATTTCTCATCTATTAATTTGGGGAAAAGAGAAGAAAAGGGGATATATCACTCTTCGCTGGCCAGTTAGTTGATTTTACATTACTTGCATTAGCAACAGAAATGACAGTGGAATATAGAGTTGTTCAGTGCTAAATTCAGTAAATTGTAAGAATATAATCCATGAAAGTTGTTGTTGATTCAGTTTAGGTACATTATTAGAAACCCAGTTACATATCAGCTGAGCTGCAAGGGATTCTTGTAAGGAATTTTCGTTTTATTTTACTTTGTGTCTCATGTGGTTCGTCAAGAAACTCTCTCATTAAATAGGGTCTGTAAAGGACCTGCTTGCCCTAAGCACCCTGGTGGATCATTAACAGATACTCTATTATGCTTTGCATCTTATCTGGTGTCAACAGGGCACTTTATCTGGTTAAGAGTATATTTCCTGGCTTTGGGGAATTACTGCAAGCTCATGTAGCCCTCCAACAACCCCCTCAAAAAAGTCATCTCCTGAGACACTCTGATCTGAGCCATTGGCTGTCATTTTCTGGGAAGTCAGAGGAGAGCTAATGGGCTTGTGGCTATGAGTTTTATAATTAATGTACATTTGGCCCGGCACAGCGACTTGTGCTTGCATCCTAGCGCTTTGGGAAGCAGAGGTAGGAGTATCACTTGAGCCCAAGAGTTTGAGACCAGCCTGAGCAACAAAGAGAGACCCTGTCTTGACAAATAGCTTTAAAAAATTAAAAATTAGCCATGCACGGTGGCATGCACCTACAGTCCCAGCTACTTGGGAGGTTGAGGTGGGAAGATCTCTTGAGCTCAGAAGTTCAAGGTGGCACTGAACCATGATCACACCACTGCACTCCAGTCCAGGTGACAGGGTGAGCCCATATCTCAAAAAAAATTTTTTAAATAATAAAAAACAAATGTACATTTTACTATCTATTTTCCTGGGGTTATCCTTCCATCTTTACATTGCTTCAAACGAAAGCCAATTCAGATGAGAAAATTATTCTAGCCTTTGGGTGAAACAATTGACATGCATACATCCGAGGTAGTGGGGGCGGAAAGTGGCAAACCTTCTGGGGAAGTGAAATGGTTCCCAGGAGGTTGCGCAATCTCTGGGGGAGCCCCTCCCAGGTGGTGAGTGACTGGAGGCAAAGAGGAGGCCTTCAGTCCAATGTGTTCATTTATAATAAATCCCTCTAATGCAGGTTCAGACTGGGGATGGGATTGGGGAAGTGAAATACCCTTACTGTGCATAAAAGGCCTATAAATAAATGCACCCACTTTTTAAAAGCTTTAAATATAACTTTCTCAATGCCAAAGGCCCTAAATTGAGGCAAAACAAAAACAATAGTAAAAAGTGAAGAGAGAGAAAGAAGAGAAAGCCCAAGTGTTAAAGGCCAAAGTCTTTTAAAAATACAAGATCAATGCTATATCATACATTATTGAAAAATCAATTTTAACACAAAAGTACCTCTGGCCACAGAAATAACTTGCATCTTAAAATAAAAGTCAATTCATAGAACAGGAACTAAAGCCAAGTGAATGAAAACACCTTACTAGCTCACTTAGGCACTTGAGGTTGAAATAATACAAGGTGATTAACAACTCTCACTCTTCTCAGTTTATAATGCTGGCTGGCTGGGTGGCTGGAGTCAAGATGGAGAAAATGTATCTCCTCTACATACAGTAGATGGGCTTCCCCAAACTTTGGTTCTGAAGACTGTTTTATCAAGTTGAAATTAATCAAATTAGCCTAATCACTTTCCCCCTAAAGTTTGTAAAGAGTGTAACCAGATGTGAATTGCCATTAGTGATAATCATGTGGTGGATAACAATAAGAACATACTTTGGGGTGAATGAACAGGTTGGATATAACCAGTGCTGTGCCGCTATTTAACAATTTGCTCTATGGATTGGAGGTGAAGGATCCTTGATTTATTGTAGTCCCCACTATCCACATTTTTACTTTCTGTGGTTTCAGTTTCCTGTGGTCAGCTGTAGCCTGAAAGTATTAAATGGAAAATGCCAGAAAGAAACAATTTGTAAGTTTTAAGTTGCAGTCATTCTGAGTTGCATGATGAACTCTCTTGCTGGCCCACCTGGGACATGAATCATCCCTTTGCCCAGAATATGCACACTGCATATACTACCTGCCTGTTAGTCACTTAGTAGCCATCTTAGTTATCAGAGTAAAAAAACAAGGTACATATAGGGTTAGGAACTATCCACGGTTTCAGGCATCTACCGGGAGTCTTGGAATGTATCCCTTAAGAATAAAGGGGAACTATTTTGAGTGTTTGCCAATTACCATGGTTTAAATACTGCCAACAGGCCAATTTCAAGTTACCAATGTGATGTCACTGAATGCATATATGGGAAGAGATGTGCACAATTGGCTCTATACTGATGGTACAAGCTGAGTCCAGCTCATCAATGAATACAACTGAACCACTTTGAATCACTTATAAATTTTCTGCAGGTAATATGGCTTCCCATCCAAAATCTTCATCTAAAAATGCTTGATTTCCTATTGCCCCCCAATTCTCTAAATCCTGCCTTGTTTCTCATGGGCCTCCTCTGATGCCCTGCTCTATATCCTAGGTGGAATCCCATACCTTCCAACTTTCTAATCTTTATATGTCGTCCTTTTGAAAACAATCATTTAAAAAACAGTATAAATGAGAAACTCATTTCAGCACATACACTTTTCAAAAAGAAAATAATATAATAATGAAAAGACACATTATCAGTGATGTCACTCTTCAGAGATAACCACTACAAATTATTTGATGCCTGGCTTCCTAGACATTTTTATTTACATATGTTCATATATATGTGTATTATATATACACATTTATATATACAGTATATATACACATTGATATATACAGTATATATATACACAGTATATATAGAAGTGTATATGTAATACACATAAAATATGTAAATATAAATGTCAATTTATATATGAAAATATGTAAATAAATTGTAAGTTTTATGTATATAAAAGTGCATAAAATAACAAAAACTACATCATATATAATAATTTCATGACCCATTTTTAGCTTAAAAATACTATAACTTTGTAAAAGTTATAACAGAAGTACATAGAATTAAAAGGGGAAGTAATACAGTAGAAAGCAGAGAATCCAAAGTAGTTTCTTACAGCAGTAATTCTATCAACTATGTCTTGGACAAAGAATTTTCTGATCCAATAAACATTAAATATGAATTATGCTTTGAAAACTCATAATGTACATTAGCATCTTTAAGACTCAATTAGAAAAACTAGAAAAGATCTGTGTGTGTGTGTGTGTGTGTGTAAGGCAAGTTTCACAGAAAACGTTTAAACATTTTTATTAAGCTTCAGTTTGGATGTACAATGACTTATTTATCCAGTCCTGTGCTATTCATTGCTTAGGTAGTTCCAGTGAGATCCACCAAAACCAAAACTGTGAGGAACATCTCCGTAGCAAGCTGGCAAAAGTATGTATATTTTACATTTCCCTGCAGAAGTTTACCAATTAGTGCAACCACTTATCTGTGCCCTCTGAAATATTACATAGAGTATAATTTTTAGTCTACAGCAGTCAAGTGATAAATGCTTGTTCTTCTTTTAATAAGCATTTATTTGATTACCAGTCTTCTACTCTCTTCAGGCTCAACTGGAAAGAACTTTATTTGTTACATGTTATTGTTTGGGTTTGGTTTGTTGATTTGTTTTTATGTGTTTATGCATGTATTGTCCATTACCATTGTTACTGCCAGCATCTGTTAAGTGCGAATAGAAACCTGCTAGTTACATTACTAGAAATGTGGATCACTGGTACAGAGATAGTTAAAGAGCTCACAGTTATAGGAAAGAACCAAAGACAAAAATGACTGTATTCCTGCACTCTGCTTTCAAACATAATAGTATCTCAAAGAAATTTAAAGAGAATACTCCGTTTACACTTTCTATTGTCCTTCAATTTAAAATATTTTCTTCAGGGCTGGGTGTGGTGGCTCATGCCCATAATCCCAGCACTTTGGGAGGCCAAGGAGGGCAGATCACTTGAGGTCAAGGGTTCAAGACCAGCCAGGCCAACATAGTGAAACCCCGTCTCTACTAAAAATACAAAAATTAGGTGGGCATGGTGGTGGGCCCCTGTAGTCCCAGCTACTCTGGAGGCTGAAACAGGAGAATCGCTGGAACCTGGGAGGTGAAGGTTGCAGTGAGCTGAGATCGTGCCACTGCACTCCAGCCTGGGTGACACAGCAAGACTCCATCTCAAAAAACAAAAATAAAAGTAAAATACAATAAAATATTTTCTTCAAAAAGTGCTACGGTTTAGTTACCTTAAGTTCAATTAGTATCTGTGCTTGGATAAAGTTTAATATCCAAAAAGCATCTGAATTTTCCCTTAAATGTTATAATTATCTAATTTGTCTTTCAGAAAACTAGACATCTTTTGGAAAACTTTAAAAGTTACTTCATTGGGAAACACTTCTGCTTGAGTATCATTGGATCAGGTCTACTTGAGCTTACATTTTTACACCTTTTTTAAAAGCTTTTTCCTCATGGTCTCTTTTTTTTGTTTTTTTTTTGTTGTTGTTTTTTAGTATTTATTGATCATTCTTGGGTGTTTCTCAGAGAGGGGGATGTGGCAGGGTCATAGGATAATAGTGGAGAGAAAGTCAGCAGATAAACACGTGAACAAAGGTCTCTGGTTTTCCTAGGCAGAGGTCCCTGCGGCCTTCGGCTGTGTTTGTGTCCCTGGGTACTTGAGATTAGGGAGTGGTGATGACTCTTAACGAGCATGCTGCCTTCAAGCATCTGTTTAACGAGGCACATCTTGCACCGCCCTTAATCCATTTAACCCTGAGTTGACACAGCACATGTTTCAGAGAGCACAGGGTTGGGGGTAAGGTTATAGATTAACAGCATCCCAAGGCAAAAGAATTTTTCTTAGTACAGAACAAAATGGTGTCTCCTATGTCTACTTCTTTCTACACAGACACAGTAACAATCTGATCTCTCTTTCTTTTCCCCACATTTCCCCCTTGTCTTTTCGACAAAACCGCCATCGTCATCATGGCCCGTTCTCCATGGTCTGTCTCTTCGGAGCTGTTGGGTACACTTCCCAGACAGGGCGGCCAGGCAGAGGCGCACCTCACTTCCCAGACGGGGTGGCGGCCGGGCAGAGGTGCTCCTCGCTTCCCAGACGATGGGCGGCCGGGCAGAGGCGCTCCTCACCTCCCAGACGGGGCGCCTCATGGTCTCTTTTTAAAATATCTATGTGACTTTTCAACTCTAAAAAAGTATCATTTAAATGCTTCTGGATTTAATCCCCCAAAAATAAGCAGACATGACTTTTTTTAATTTAAGAAAACCCAAAAAACTATGAAGTTGAAATTAGAGAAAAAAAGTATAGTTTACTTTAAAGTGTGTGGTCATTATTAAAATAAAACTACCTTGAACTGACAGGGTGCGGTGGCTCACGCCTGTAATCCCAGCACTTTGGGAGGCCGAGGCAGGCGGATCACAAGGTCAGGAGATCAAGACCATCCTGGCTAACACGGTGAAACCCCATCTCTACTAAAAATACAAAAATTAGCCGGGCGTGGTGGCGGGTGCCTGTAATCCCAGCTACTCGGGAGGCTGAGACAGGAGAACTGCTTGTACCCAGGGGGGTGGAGGTTGCAGTGAGCCAAGATCGCGCTACTGCATTCCAGCCTGGATGACAGAGTCAGACTCTGTCTCAAAAAAAAAACAAAAAACAAAAAAAAGACCTTGAACTTTAGCATGATTTCCTTTGCCCCTACCGGTGCTTGTTTGTTGGTAATTACATAGAATAATGAATGAACTATAGACTTAGGGGACAGCAAAATAATAATTTTATTGAAATTAATTATGAATGAATTATTAAATAATCTTTCATTCTACACAAATCCCTTATTCCAAACATTTAAGTTATTGGTAAGATATAGACCTGCCTATGCCAGCTTTATATGAGATGAATATTTTTTCATATAGTTTTCAAATTTCCTAAAGTTCTATTTTAGTGAGAAAAAAATAGAGCAAAACAGTTAAATATAAACTTTAAAACAACATTCTTATTGCAATGTATGTAATTGCATTGTTTGGATTACAGTGTTTTCAAATTGTGAATCACAATTCAGCACCTATCATGCTATAACTAATAAGGCAACAGCAGTGTTGTATACTACAATAGTACTCCCTTTCTATAGTCTAGTGGAATTTCCACAATTCCACTAATTTCCACAACTAGAGCCCAGAAATGTTAGAAATCTTATCCCTACTTACATAATCTGTATACGTTTTCTAGGAGTTTTGAATTGAGGACAGAGGTCCTACATGAATCACACTATTGTAGGCCACACTAGTTACAGCAGCTATTAACGAACATCGGGGCACAACTTATATTGTGCTTACAATCAGATGACGTGATTTGGAGGGTTTCAATTCTTTGGTAACGTGTATCACGTTACCAGCAATCTTACAGAAACTTTTGATAATAATCCAAAAAATCAAGGACAACTTCATGATAGACATTCTATCAATTGATAAAGTATGTAATAACAACATGACTCGACAATTTTAAAAGGATTTATATTAAGTTAGTCACAGTGGTTTTATGTATACCTATTTATTTCTAAGCAGTCTCATGTTTCTGTTTTTAAATGATATGCTCAATAGTTTTTCTTCAACCTCTAGACAACTTTTCAGGTGCAGCATCTCTAAGTTTAAGCAATGGGTACAATCACTAATCTATAAGGACTATAACATACCATTTTCTTTATATTTCCAGACTCAAGGATACTAAAAGACCAGAGAGTCTTTCAGTTGAACACACATATATGTATACAATAATTCTACCCAAGAATGTTTTATTTTGTTTAACCTAGGATCGCCCGAACTTAATTTCTTGATAGTAAGCTCTTTCAGGGCATGGACAGTGTATACATAGCAGCTATCAAAATACCTGGCACCTATAAGTGGTCAGTAAACATCAGTTGAATGAATAAATAAATGAATGAGTGAATGAATGAAGGTTGAGAAATCAACAACTAAATATATTTGGTGCTCCACATAGAATATATTCATGAAAATGTAATTCCAAAGTGAAATTTGTTTTGACACCTGCAACAACTCAATAATATTAATATCTTCTGTAGCCTTCCAACTCTGTCTCACTCTAACACTCTTCCCCTTATTATTCTAGTTGTCATTAATCTTCTTTTCCTATGAAATTTTATAGCACTTTTAGTCTCTATCACGTAAGTTACACTAAATATACTGTCTGTATAATCCACCACGGCATGTTTAATTTATGACTATTTGGCTTCTGGTTAGGCACATTTCTTATGAATTACAAACAATAATAACAAGCATCAGCATGTAAATAATTATTTCATTATTAATAATGTTGGTATTGATTAATAATCATATGGCTCTTTATATTGATAAGGTTCATTTAAAACTATTATTTCATTTGGTTTTATAATAGCTGTACAATGGATATTGATACAATTATCCCCATTTTATAGATGGAAAAACTAAGAACCAAAGGGGTTAAGTAACATTCCAGTGATTAGATATACTCATTAAATGATGGACAAAACTTCAGCATTTATGATATCCACAGCCCTTCTTCTTGCTTCCCAGGGCTGCTTTCTGCCTTGTTCCAGGGAAGCATTGTTCTGGCATTCAGAACCCTTCCAGCGCTCCAGTCCTCCTGCCCTGTACAACTTCTTTTCCAGATGCTGGTTTCAAATCAATTAGTGGTTCAAGAAATTGAAAGGAACGAGAGAAAGAAAGAGGAAATAGAAAGATATCCAAGGGAAGTAAAGAGAAGTGGAAGATGGTAAGAAATAGAGACCCAGACTGTAAGGCTCTAGGCCTATCTGGCCAGCAGATGTGTTTTATTTGGCCAACACAGAGTGTTTTCTTTTTCAGTGAACTCATTGCCAACTTTTAAAATGGCAAATGTTCTCGTCTATATTTCTGGCTTTTCTTGAAAATATGAGAAAAGTGGCAACATTAGGCTCAAATTTCTGCATGGCAACCATTAGCTACAGCTCAGTAGTGGCTACTCTCTTAAGATAGAGCGTGCCTTCTAGTGTACCCTGGCCCTAACCCTCTCTCTTATTTAATTTCAGGTTAGCTTCACTCTTCCAGCCCCTTCAGGGATTTGTAGCTGTTTCTTCTGCATAAGGAAGTAAGATGGGCTTTATTTTACAGCCATCTCTGACTTTCTATAGAGATCTTCAGCTTTAGCAAGTAAATTTTAAGTATGCACATCTTAATCAGAGGTCTGCCTAAAAGTCAAACTCAGCCAAGTGTGGTGGCTCATGCCTGTAATCCCAGAAATTTGGGAGGCCAAGGCGGGCAGATCACCTGAGACCAGGAGTTTGAGACCAGCTTGGCCAACATGGTGAAACCCCATCTCTGCTAAAAATACAAAAAAAAAGAGAAAAAAAAAAAGTCAGGCATGGTGGCGGGCGCCTGTAATCCCAGCTACTCAGGAGGCTGAGGCAGGAGAACTGCTTGAACTCGTGAGGCGGAGGCTGCAGTGAGCCGAGATTGCACCATTGCACTTCAGCCTGGGCAACAAGAGTGAAACTCTATCTGAAAAAAAGAAAAAGTCTAACTCTTAGATGAATACATTAATTCATTGAACACATCTTTATTTATCGAATGCCTACTCTGCACCTCGCATTGTTTGGGAATTAATCTCATTATTTTTGAATTGCATCTCAAATTTTCCCCTAATACAACTATTAAAGGGAAAAAGAATGATTTCAAACAATTGATATTTGATAAAGAATAAGTCTTATGACTAAAATACAAATGCTTTTAATTAGGCACATTCAGGATCAAATTTAACAATGTATGACTTTGGCTGTGGTCATCAAATCCAAGCATAGCTTTAAGGATTCCAAAATGATGAAGTAACGTTGTAGCAGATCAAAGTGCTCAAAACAATTGATTTAGATATCTTAAAGATTTGAGGTCTTGTTTTCTCAATTGTGTTACGTATAAGAAAAACAATACAATTTTAAAATTATATTTTCCTTAAGAAGCCAGACAGACCTTGGTTTGAAGGCAACAGATGACTCAAAGCTTATTCATTTTTTTTTTTTGAAACAGAGTTTCACTCTTGTGGCCCAGGCTGGAGTGCAACAGCATGATCTTGGCTCACTGCAACCTCCGCCTCTTGGGTTCAAGCGATTCTCCTGCCTCAGCCTCCCAAATAGATGGGATTACAGGCATGCGCCACCACACCCGGCTAGTTTTGTATTTTTAGTAGAGATGGGGTTTCTCCATGTTGGTCAGGCTGGTCTCGAACTCCCGACCTCAGGTGATCCACCTGCCTCGGCCTCCCAAAGTGCTGGGATTACAGGTGTGAGCCACCACGCCTGGCCACAAAGCTTACTCTTTAATGCCTTTACTTGTTACCCAGAACTTAAGGATAAACATGGGAATGTTTCTCTAAATTTTACCATCAACCCTAGGGATCTCTTCAAAAATGCTATTACAATCCCCATAGGAACTCTACTGAATTTTATTAATCCCATATGGCTGTGCTTCTAATTTCTGATTCGTTACAGTAAAGGTAAGGCAAGAATCATGGTAAATGAAAGAAGACCATCAACAGGGTTTTATATGATTGGCTACCATGTACTACGGTGTGACTGTATGTGTCCCTCTAAAATTTATTTGTTGGAACTTAAGCCTGAAGGTTAACAGGTAGGGTGCTTGGGAGGTGATTAGGCCATGAGAGCTCTGTCCGCATGAATGGTATTAGCAACCTTATAAAAGGGCTAAAGGGAACTAGTTAGGCCCTTCTGCCTTTCCATCATGTGAAGACACTGTTCATCCCCACCAGTGGATGTAGCAACAAGGTGCCATCTTAGAAGCAGAGTCAAGCCCTGATCAAACACTGAACCTACAGGAGTCTTGATCTTGGACTTTCAGCCTCCAGATTTGTGAGAAATACATTTCTTGCTTTCAAAATTACCTAATTACTTAGTCTGTGGTATTTTGTTACAGCAGCAGGGACAGACTAAGATACCATGTGTATTAGTATCCTGTGGCTGCCATAACAAATTACTACAAACTTGGTAGTTTAAACAACAGAATGTATTCTCTCATGGGTATGAACTAGAGGCCTGAAATCAAGGTGTTTGTAGGGCTGCTCCCCTTCCAAAAGCTCTAAGAGAAGTTCTTCCAGCTTCAGGTGGCTCCAAGGGCTTCTTGGTTTGTGGCTGCATAATTTGAATCTCTGCTTCTGTTTTCACATGGCCTTCTCTGTGTCTTGTCTTCTTTTCTGTCTCTTATAAGGATACATCATAGGATTTAGGTCCATCTAGGTAATCTAGGATGGTCTCATCTTAAGATCCTTAATTAGATCTGCAAAGATACTTTTTTTCCAAATAAGGGCATATTCCCAGGTTCTGGGCATTAACACATGGGCATATTTTTTTGAAGGGGTGGGCATCATTCAACCAACTACACCATGATTCTTTATTTGACTTCTTGATATGTCTGTTAGAAACATTTATGCAATGCAGGTGTACTATTTATACCGTACTTATGATTAATTCTATACAAGGTTTAGCGTCAAGTCCCTGGTCAGCAACACATCTGCCATTATATCTATAGGAAAATTCAATTTGACTTATGATATGCCTGCTTATCTGTTTCCCATGAATGTTTATATGTTCATCTTGCCATTCAAATTTTACTGTAATCTCTCAGAATCCAAGAACTGTGCCTTATCTTTATTTCCATTTTCTACTCAACACCTAAGACAACTAATACATATGAATAGACATTTATTTATTGGCACATTGACTTTGAAATTCATGTTTGCCTATGATCTCTGTAGGAACTCTGAGTATGAAATGTATTGGAGGAACAGGAGCAGCTTTTGACTGACAGTATATATTCCTTCAGTGGGAGTGGGTAGAAGCATAAATAAGGCTAACTATAGGGTTGTAATTTCTCCATGTTTCCTCTGAGTTTTTTTTTCTTTTTGGCTGTTTGAATTGAGCTATATGCCCTCTTCTAGAAGGTACAAGCAAGAAGAGCAAGTCTATAAAACTTGTTCGTGAGCAGAAGGACAAGACTATTACTTAGAAATCTTGGCATAATCCTTTGAGTGGTTTCATTAGGAATGAGGCTCTACAGAATTGCCACTGGGAAATGTGTTTCTGGAACTCAGGGAGATTGTATTAATACCTTAGGACTGTTTCTGAAAGAGTTTATTTATTTATTTATTTATTTATTTATTTATGGAAAGAAAGAAGAAAGGAAGGTGGGGCCGGGGAGACAACTTTAATTTGAATATATATTAGGATTAATAAAAGAATTATTTTTAGGTTCAGAAAACTTCCATATTTTTTGAGATACAGTAAGAGATGTCAGAGAAAGAGAAACAAAAGTCTGTAAAGAAGTGAAGAAATTTTACACTAGGTTGATGGTTGTAGGAAATATAAATTAAAATGCCCTGAGCTGGCTAGAGGTACTTAGCAAAAAAAAAAACTAATGAAAAGAAAAAAAAGGTTTTTTAGGAAAGGCTGGAGACATACAGAGCCTCAGTGATGCAATTACAATATGAAGAGCTGGCTGCCATGGGACTGCTGGAAGGAATCATTAGCTCTGGTTAAATGAGTAAGTTTCTGCTGCAAAAATGATAAAGTACCTTAGAGGCATCAGGAGCTGGGCTAGAGGTTTGTAGCAATCCTCTTGATGTTTCATCAATTAACGAAGACCACCTTTTTCTAAGTTTCTTTGAAACTCAACAGGCAGAACTGATGGATATTTTTCTGCTAGGTAGAGAAAAAAATAACTAGTATAATCCTGTCCTTCTGTTCATTTTAAGTAGCCGTCGCTTAAATTTCCTTAAGCTCAGTGAAAACATTATCCAGGCAAAGATTCCACTTCACACTGAAGTAAATTTACTTGTCCAAAGCGCTAGATTAGTTGTCTATAATGGTTTCTCTTTAAAACAAGAAAAATTGTAAAATACTGGTCCTTTGGTGAGGAACTGGACAAAAGCTTGGGCGCTATAGTCTCTTCTGCTTATGAGACATGTGAACTCTACTATCCTTTTTCTGTCTGTCTAGCCAAGGCGTCTCCGAATGCTCAAGGATTGTTTTCAAACCAAATTGATAAGAAACTAAAAAGACTCAGTCTGAGTATGCTGGACTTTTATCTTTTTTCCTTAAAATGCCAACTACGCTGGCAATGTAAAGCAAATAGGTAAAAATTAAATCAAACATGGTTCAAATAAACACATTTTCTCTTACCAAGATAAGTATTCCTATAATTTTTAGAAAGCCAAAGAAATGACAAGGTTGAGATAGGAGTGTCAGGTGGAGGAAGGAGAAAATGAGTAGAAGCCATCAGCCACAGAGAACAAAGCGCCCTCTTGTTCCGGTGGGGAACGCACTGCCTAGGAATGTATCCACTAGGTGGCGTTTCATCTCCAGGACAGGCCAGGATTTGTCCTGTCGTTCAAAAACCAATCTGCTAAGCGTTTTGGTGGTCTTGAGAAAGGTAAATACATTTGTTTTAAAATTGTTTTTGTCTGAAAATCACAGTTTTGAATAGTGGTGAAGACAATCAAGATTTCCCATTTAGTGTGAAAATTGGGTGCCATCATTTTGGAAGATTTCATACTCAAGTATTCTGAGGATCTAGCAGGATTAAAGCATTTGGGAGCTGTACGGTCCTCTTAGAGATCACCTTACCGGTCATCCCTGTTTTGCAGATTAAAATACTGAGAGCCAGGCTTATCTTATCACTTGCCTAAGATTGTAGTATTGGGTGATGATAGAACAAGGATCAATTTCCTACAGGCAGACCAGACTCAGTGTCACCTGAGTCATCCTGATCCACGTTAAAACCTTTCATTGATAAATGTGTAATATATGCACAGTGAGTTCTAGGCACAAAGCTGCTTGCTGGGAATGCGGAAATAGAACCTGTCTAGAATCAACCCTCCAAGTATAATTGGAGAAAAAAAAAAAAGCTAACAGGCAATAACAAAACAGATAGTGCATTAAATAATGACCATGATGATGTCTGCCTGGTACCCAGGGCAGAATGTATCCTGTAAGGAGGCAGAGGCAGCCTCTGAGAAAGGTGAGATAAGGCTGAATGAATGTTTGGGAGAGGAGATGAGTTCACAAATTTTGCTTCCAGAAGGGAATATTTGCCTATTTTCTCAGCCAGGCTTTTCAGATCACAAAGCAAAGCCCCCGGGTGGGTCTCAGAGCGTAGCAATGTAATATCATCATGAAGCAAGGCATGGCTAGAGCTGCGCTGAGTCAGATGCTGACGATATTCATGATCTCTAGCTCGTATCTGGAAATGTTGTACTCAAACGAAATAGAAATATTGGCTTATTGTAGGTTTTAATTTACCAAGACTGTTCCAATAAGTCTGGTACATGCTACTTATATGGAATACTAATTTTTGAAGATATGACTTACAATGTTCTTTTTATTCTTCAAAACCGTTATGAGCTATTTTCATGAACAACTCAATATGTCATGAACCTTGGGAAGGGCTTGTGGGTTGCTGACATTATTCTATTTCTTCATCCATGTTATAGTTCCACAGTATTTTGTTTTATGATAATTTATTGTCTATGTTTTATACTTCTTTCATGCGTATTATGTTTCAGAGTCTTTTAAAGAGTTTTAAAAATGTTATGGCCTGTGTTTTTGAATTTGCAAGGCTCTCCTAGAAACACAGTAGGCTGGGCATGATGCCTCACACTTGTAATCCCAGTATTTTGGGAGGCCGAAGTGGGAGGACTGCTTGAGCCCAGGAGTTCGAGACTAGCCTGGGCAACATAGTAGGAACCTGTCTGCAAAAGCTACAAAAATTAGCCTGGCGTGGTGGCTCACATCTGTGGTCTCAGCTACTGAAGAGGCTGAGGTGGGAGGATCGCTTGAGCCCATGAGGTGGACGCTGTAGCGAGCAGTGATTGCACAACTGCACTTCCATGTGAGTGACAGAGAGAGACCCTGTCTCCAAAAAACAAGAAAGAAAAGAAAAAGGAAAAGAAAAGAAACATAGTGAAGTGCTAGCAAACTCAATAGTGGTATTCCATGAGATCCACTGACAATGAGAAACCAGTTTTCAACTATAGAATAGTAACATTTTATAGTAGCACTTTAAAAATAAAATGTTTTAGCATATATTTACACTGCCTTTTTAGTGACTTATAAGAATGTTATAAATATCTTTTTGCCTTTCCTAGACTTCTGATACCCAGAGAAGGGGATTTTGGCCTAGTTACATCATGTAAAGTAAGAAAATGAGAATTTCAAAATTGACTTGTTTTCATGTTTAAATTCTATCTTTTGAGCTTTCATTTTTTAGTCTTAGACTATCTGTCAGGAAGAATGTGTACTTGTCACACATCTGTGTGTGTGCCGTTCATTCACCTCAGAACATTTAGTTGACTTCTCTAACAGCATTTGTCCTTCTGTTAACTTACTCCAGGTGTGTTAGTGACAGGACATAGACTCAGGGGCTCCAGACCCATGTTCACTAAAACAGACCTGAGTTTTTAATTCTTTTCTGAATGTTCTGCTACTTTGAACTGGTCTCTGTGTCTCCTTTTGTTAGACTGTGTATGCATATCTCTGCTATACAATACTAAAAACAATTCATGTGAGTCTTATGCTGCCAAGGTTAGATCCAATCAAAATTTGTGGTTTCTGTTTCAAACTGACCTTGAACCTCAGTGTTTGGGCTTGTTTTAATCTTGGCAATGTTTTACTTCCTATTTCTAAGAATGAACTATTATTTGGCTCAAAAGCTTATTCTCATCTAATATCCTTAGAAAGCAAGATTATCATTATGCGAATGAATTTGGAAGATTAAACATTCATGATAACCAAATTAACCCTGGAAAAATCAAATAAGAAAAGCAAAGAAGCTGTATTCAATAAAAATCATTTGTATTGGGCCAGGCACGGTGGCTCACGCCAGTAATGCCAGCACTTTGGGAGGCCAAGGCAGGCAGATCACGAGGTCAGGAGTTCGAGAACAGCCTGGCCAACATGGTGAAACCCCATCTCTACTGAAAACACAAAAATTAGCTGGGTGTGGTGGCAGGCGCCTGTAATCCCAGCTACTTGGAAGGCTGAGGCAGGAGAATTGTTTGAACCTGGGAGGCAGAGGTTGCAATGAGCCAAGATAGCACCATTGTACTCCAGTCTGGGCAACAGGGTGAGACTCCGCCTCAAAAAAAAAAAAAAATTGTATTTTAGAAAGTCTAAAACATTAACACATAACTAATAATTTTATATGTATTTAAAATACTGAAGAGAAAACCTAGCCCTAAAACTGACATCTCAAGTATTTTACTGTCATGAAATTCTTTTATTGAGTTAAAAGAAAAAACTCAAGCTGAAAGTCAAAATACGTAGATCAAATATTCCTCTATCAATAACCAACTACTATGTAAAAGTTGCTAACCTCTGCTACTAATTTGTTTAACTTTATTTATTTATTTATTTGAGACAGAGTCTCGCTTCATTGCCCAGGCTGGAGTGCAATGGTGCCATCTCGGCTTACTGCAACCCCCGCCTTACAGGTTCAAGTGATTCTCCTGCCTCAGCCTTTGAAGTAGCTGGGATTACAGGCATGCGCCACCACACCTGACTAATTTTGTATTTTTAGTAGAGATGGGGTTTTACCATGTTGGTCAGGCTGGTCTCAAACTCCTGACCTCAGGTGATCCGCCCACCTCAGCCTCCCAAAGTGCTGGGATTATAGGCGTGAGACACCATGCCCGGCCTGTTTAACATTTTTAATAGATAAGTTAGTATCTTTTATTTTTGGTACCAAATTACTCATTGAATGGAACAGTGCAAATGTAGGAAGAAAGCAGAGGTGGATATTTTGGTAAGCCCCTGCAGAAAGTATGAAGATCACACAGATATGAAAGTACTTCATTATTCAACATGGGAAGCTATTCTCATGGCTATGGGGAAACCACCCTGAGGCTTCACTCTCATTGTCACCATCTCCCAGGTGTGCTTGTCAAAGAAACTCCAATGCCAGATTGCAGAACCCCTCTCTTGCACAAGTTTACTACATGAGTATCTATTTTAAAAATGTATTTTACCTGCTTATTTAGGTAATGTGTCTCAAGGAAGTCAAAAATATGGGAGTCAGTTTTGTCAGCGTTTAGTTTTTACAGTTCCAATAAGAACAAGATTTATACATTGTCTAGGTATTATATATATTCCATTACAATCAGCTTGCTCTCCCACTATCAAGATCAGCTTTAATAATATCCTGTGGAAAGTTTGGCCACCTTTTTGGTTCTGTAGTCCTGGTGGTAGTTTTGGGGCACCTGCAAAAATATCACCATATTAGGTAACTGAGAAGAGGTGGTTGCTGCATGGTATTGGAGTAAAGGAGCCCTTGGGGTGATTTGATCATAGAATGTGGTGGTGAAGTGGAGGCACAGACTGACTGGCTGATTAAGATCAAGCTCCAGGTTCCATCCAAGCACTGCTGAAGACTAGAAACTGTAATCATTCTCTGCATTTAGCATCTACTCACTCCCCAAAAGTTTGATGCTTTAGTTCTCCTTGTAAGAAGATAATAGTAGGCTTTTGCTTCTGGCTCTGGTGGAGTAACAAGAACCAGATACATCTTTTTTTATCCTAAACAATTAGAAAATGTCACAAAATATCTAAAACAGTGATGTCAAGACATTGGTCAAAAGAAATCACAGAGTTCACAAAGGAGTGAACTTATTCCTGGAGGCAGTTTACAGGCCACCGGGGAGAGGGGAGACTTACGAAACGTCTAAGTTTCACTGAGTTGAGGAGATAGAGTTCAGAGTTTCAGGAAGCCTAGGAAGTTAGAATTCATGAGACAGAATACCATATAGGACGGACTGTCAGGGTGGGGAGAGAATAAAAATAATAGGGTCTACTGACCTGTAGGACAGGATCAATAGGTCTAATCTACATGGAATTATAATCCCAGAAGGAAGGGAGAAGAGGGAATAGAAAAATATTCTTAAATGATACTTTATATACAGAGGAAAAACAATTCAAATGACCACAGATTTATCACGAGAAGCCACAGAATCGATAAGATCCTGGTACATTTCTAAAGTGCTGGGAAAAAGAAATCATTACCAATAGAGGTACAAAATAAGAATAACCACAGATTTCATGTCAGGAATTATGCAAGCCAGTAAACAATGTAGGTATAACACTAAATTTGTGAAGGAAACAACTATCAACATAGAATTTTTACCCAGTGAAAATAAATTTCAAAAGGGAAGGTTAGATAAAGACTTTTTTCAGACAAATTAGTGTCGGCAGGCAATTCATTATCAGTAGATATACACCGTCCGATATGTTAAAGGAAGTTCTTCAGACAGAAAGAAAATGGTATTAAATTAAAATTTGGATCTACATAAAGGAATGAGGACTGTCAGAAACAGTGAATATACAAGACATTTTCTCATTTTTAACATTTAAAAAACAAATATTTAAAGTAAAATAATAGCAATGTATTGTGGATTCAGTAATATATGAAGGAATAGAACAGATTTGCAACATATATAACTGACAGATGATTTGTTTGCAGAATATATGAATAATTACTATGAATTCATAAGAAAAAAGTTAAGTTTCTCTCAGAAGAGAAAACACAAATAGACCATGAGTATATGAAAAGATTCTCAATGTCATGAGAAATTAGAGAACTGAAGCTTAAAACCACTATGAGATCCCAACTTATATCCATCAATTGACAAAAATAAAAAAGTTTGACATCTGGTGTTGGTGAGGATATAAAGGCATAGGAACTCATGCCCCGTTTGTACAACTACTGTGGGGAAAAAAATGTACCATCTGCTAAAATTCCACTCATAGGTATAGTGTATAGAGAAACACTTGAGTATGCATTGGAGACTTACACAAGGATGTGCATCATGACAGTCTTTGTAAGAGTAAAAATTTAGAAGCCCAAATGTATGCTGATGATTGAATGGTTAAATTAATTATGGTATAGTCATACAATGGTATTCTATACATCACTGAAAAAACAAATTATAGTTGTGTGCAGCAACATGAATAAATCACAGAATGATGACATTAAGCAAAAGTAGCCAGTCCTATGTTGCTAACTATTTATATGACACAATAGAAAAAAATAGCCAAAACTAAATAAAACATTGTTTTTAATCTTTTCCACTAGACTCTTTGGTGTGTTTATCACAGCACTATTAAAGTCCTGATCTGATGTATTTTATACTTGACCGTCTCTGCATCTGATTCTGTTGACCAGTTTTCCTCTTGACTATGGGTCAAATTTTCTTACCACTTGGCATGACTTAAATTTTTGTATTGTGTACTCAACATTGTGTGTAAGCCAACAGTGAAGCCTAAGTAATATTTACCCGCCGAATAAGGCACATCCTACTTCTGTCATGCCACCAATATGAGGGGCTGAGTCAATCTAATCTATAGATTAGTTGTGTCTGGGCTTCATTAAAGCTTTAGTTATTCAGTTCACCACTGGATTCAAATAATTTGATGTTGGAATCAGGACCTTTCCTCCAGCAGGACTTGAGATCTGACCACTCATAAAACTCCAAAGATCTCTTTGTGCTCTATAGCCAGGAGGTCACCTGGCTTTCTGAATGTGGGAGACACCTTTACAGCCTGTGACTACCAGCTTTTTTAATTTCTGGGAAAACCTCTTTGCTTTCTAGCGCAATTATTGGCTTTTTATCCCAGGAAATTTCTGGCCTATCTTTGGAGATCTGAGATAATGCATTCGATGGGGCCCTTGAGAGCCTGGAAGAGATTTTACTCTCCTGCCCTATTCTCAGCCTTCAGCAGATGCTACATTTCTTTCAAAGAAGGCCTGGAGATCCTCAGGATTTGTCTTCATTCTCCTGCCGTGACTGCAGCCTTCAGCATTCTATTCCCCAACACTAGGTGAACCCCTTGGGAAAGAGTTAGTGGATAGGTGGAGACCTTCTCTGAGTCTGGAACTCCTTGGGATTTTAATCCATCTTGCAAGCTCACAGGCAACTGCTACAGTTTTTTGATTTTGGCTGGTTTTATGTCACTCCCTTCTATGGCAAACTTCTTTCACTGTTCCATCAGAGATGAAAGTAGCTGAGAATATCTTCTTTCTTGGGAATGACTAATCATTTTCTGGATTTAAGTTTACTTACTTTTTTAAAAAATATCTTGTGTTGCTCTGATTAGTTTTAATACCAAAGTTTCTCGCTTAACTGGACTGTTCTCATTGTTCATTAGGAGAGTCAAACTCGTGATTTACAAAATTGTAAGTGAAAGCAGAAGCTAAACTTTGAGTTTTGAGAAATAATTCACCAAATGGGTTCTTTTAAAAACTTTTTATTACTTTTTGCTAAATTCAAAAGTATTGCATGTTTATTATTAAAATTCAAATTAAACAAAATTACAAAAATCTCAGATACATAGATATTGAGAGTCCTTCTTTTTTTTTTTTTTTTTGTAGAGATGGGGTTTTGCCCAGGCTGGTCTTGAACTTCTGACCTCAAGCGATCTGCCTGCCTCAGCCTTCCAGAGTGCTGAGATTACAGGCATGAGCCACCACAACCAGCCAGAAAGTCCCTCCTAACTCCACCCTCCAGGCATATCACTTATAAAAGTTTACTGTAACATTATTCAAAATAGCAAACACAGTTTGTAAACTCAAAAAATAATCTGATTCACCAAGACTGATTTTAACACCACTGTGTATGCTTCTTGAGGTGCATTAAAGTTATTCATTTCTACATGTTATTAGGATAAATGGTATCTTCAAATAAAATCAATGGCCTGAAAATTTTTAAACAGCATGCAATAACTTTCCTCTCTTCTCAGCAAGTCTTGATCCTAGCCTAATCTTTTGATAACTAAGCTTTATTATAGCAAAATAACCTTAGTTACATTTTGACTGAAGATCTGCACAAATCAAAGAAAAAATACAGGTTGGCTGAAAGTAGATACTAATTGAATTAAGTCATATGCTTGATGGATGTTGTGTTGAGAGAATCTGTGGAAGTTAAAGTCATCAGGCTGTTTTGCTTATGCAGAGATGGTCACGACTGAGACTGAGGGAATAGAGAGCCATTGACTTATTTAGAAAAATTGTAGGTATAGAAATATCATCCTTGCTTCACTCATCATTGTTAATCATTTAAAAATTGGGTTTCTAAATTTATGTCAATACCAAGAAAAAAATATTTTTCCCCTTGAGAAATTCAAATCAATAATATGCTCAGCACATTTCAGGAAATATTTCCTAGAATGATTAAAACCACTCAGTACTCATGATTAAAAGCAATGGTTTTTGGTTTATGATGGGATGCCCCAATAAGTATTTCAGGTTTGGGGACCCAAAAGTTCTAAAGGCATATTGCTTTTCTTGAGGCAGAAATTTAGCCCTAATGGATTGTCTTAGCTCATGTCTATTCCACTGTTTATTCCACTGAGCTGTACAGCACACATTTACAGCTATGTTACTCAATTACTCAACAAATATTTATAGACTACCTACTACATGTTAGGTGCTGTGCTAGGTGCTGTGCTGCTGGGACAGGCAAGTGAGCAAAATCAAACACAGTCTTTGCCCTTGTGGTGTTAACGCTCTTCTGGGGAAAATAGATATTATTCTAATACTCACAATAAATAATTAAAAATTACAAGTAGAGATAAGTGTTCTGCCTATGTATTAGTCTATTCTTGCATTGCTATAAAAAAAACCTACCTGAGACTAGGTAATTTTTAAAGAAAAGAAGTTTAATTGGCTTATAGTTTTGCAGGCTGTTCAGGAAGCATGGCTGTGGAGGCCTCAGGAAACTTACAATCACGGCGGAAGGCAAAGGAGAGGCAGGTGAATCCTACATTGCTAGAACAGGAGGAAGAAAGTGAAGGGGAAAGTGCTATGCACTTTTAAGCAACTAGATTTCATGAACACTCACTCATTATCACAAGAATGGCTAGGGGGAAATCTGCCCCCATGATCAAATCACCTCCCGGCAGGCCCTTCCTCCAACATTGGGGATTGCAATTTGACATGAGATTTGGGCAGCGACACAAATCCAAGCCATATCAGCTTACAAAGGCATACAACAGAACAACCTGACCTACTCTGAGGTAGTCAGGAAAGGGTTCCCTGAATCTGAGATCTGAAAAATGAATGGGGTTTGTATTAGTCTGTTCTCATGCTGCTGATAAAGACGTATCTGAGATTGGGTGATTTATAAAGAAAAAGATGTTTAATGAACTAACAGTTCCACGTGGCTGGGGAGGCCTCACAAGTATGGCAGAAAGCAAAAGGCACATCTTACATGGTGGCAGACAAGAGACAATGCGACCCAAGTGAAGGGGGTTTCCCCTTATAAAACCATCAGATCTCGTAAGACTTATTCACTACCACAAGAACAGTATGGGAGAAATTGCCCTCATGATTCAATTACCTCCCACACCACATGGGAATTACGGGAGCCACAATTCAAGATGAGATTTGGGTGGGCATACAGGCAAACAATATCAGGGTTTAACTAAGTTAGTGGAAGAGGTTTGGTCCAGATGACATGAACAGCATATACGAAGGCTGAATGGGTCAAGAGTTGCTTTAGGAACTTTAAAAGGCTAATGCAGTTGGATGGCAGAGGGAGAGGGAGTCAGCTAGTGGTTTGAGATGGGGTGGAGAACTGAAAGATTCTGACCGTATAGCTTTATGCGACCTAAGTGATTCTGATCGTCATTCTCAGAGCAATGGGATTTAATAGAATGAATTTGGGGTGGGGTTGAATGGTGACTTGATCAAAATAACATTTTAAAAATCTACCCATTTGCAATATGGGGGAAGTTTGGAAGGGGTGAGAGTGGATGCGGGAAGACCAACTAGATTTTTCCAAGTAGGCTTGTTGGCAGGTAATAGTGTCTCGTACCAAAATGTTGTAAGTGAAGAATGAGAGAAATAAATAATCATTTGAAATATTTCAAAAGTAAAATTGACAGAACTTAATTACAAATTTGATTTAAGGGGGCATGAGGAAGATACTATATACCTATATACCTAGCGACTGGCCTGCAAAGCACTTTACATACATAGGTGCTCAAGAAATATTTTCTAAAATGACGAATGCATGAGCAAATTGTTTAGTATGCTATTCGTAGATTTTTAGATCTCTTAGTTGCTAATCTCATTTTCTGAACCTGACTGACCTCTCAGCCAGCTGCCATTTCCATTCCTGGACTTTGATGTTCTCTCAGCCAGTTGTCATTCCCATTTCCTTCCTGGTTCCTGCAGAATTATAAGTGGAGAGTGCGTATACTTGACTCTTGTTAATCTTCCCACAGCCCTCTGCTTCCTCTGCCCTCAATTATTAAACCACTCACTTTCATGCCCATAGCTACCCCATGGACTCACTCGTACGACTGAGAAATTCAACATAGTTCACAATCAGGAAAGTTCATTATCCCTAAAATAGCTTGATTTTTTTTTTCATTGAACCACTATATTTGCTCCAAATTTCAACGCCTGGGACTTTCACAGTCTTAGCTTAGAGAGCTGCATAATAACTTTTTTGTTTAAAAAAATAAAACAGCCTGTTGGTATTTGATAAAGGCTATTGTTTTCTGTAGATAGTGGGGCCATTTGATTAATCTTAGATTTCCCACTAGCATTGAACACAGTGTCTTATACATGACAAATTCTTAATTGTAAACACATACAAAATGTGTGCCTCGTTGGGGGAAGGATGGGGAAAAGAGAGAGGGTGAGAACACATTTACTCTCCATGCACCACAGTCCACAATAAAGACATTAATTGATCTTGTAGTTTTCCTGTCTGCAAAACAGAAGGCGATTGGGATTCATGAACAGAAGCCTCCATTATGTTGTATTTAATTGTGCTACAGTAAAGGGGTCTGTATCTTCAACCAAATGACAATTTATGCTTCATTAAATTCTTCTCACATTTTTGCACTTCAGGTACTTCGATTAGACGGCAGCTTTATTTTGAATGGCTCATTCAAGCATGACAAGATGCCAGTGAGTATCTGGAGACACAGTAGAATTATAAGCATCCTTTACGTCTAGAAGACACTACCTCTTACTTCTTATAATACTGGATTGAACCTTGTGGTTCATAAATATTCATAAGTCTGAAAAAAGTATCTTAGATACATGAACAAACATCACAAAATTCCTTGATGGGAGGCTCAACTAGTGCTTTAGATTAGAATTAGAAGTTTATTTTTACAGAAGTGAAATGTTTGCCTCATTTGGCACACTTGAGGATTAGGTAGCTTACAGACCTATTTATTTTTAATTACAGTTTGCTTAGAACATTAACCCATCACTGATTAAATATGATCCCACAATATCTCAAGCTTGCAATATGTAAAGCTTGAAGACTTTTTATTTTCTGAAATTGATTGATACTCTATATGTTGAGATATTTTCTTTGAAAGAAGTTCAATTTCACTACAAATATGAACTATGCTTTTACATTCATATATTAACTTGAATTTACACAAATAAGAAATGTTTGTATATGTGGAGATAAGATCTTTTAAAGTTTCTTTACCATTTTCATAACTTCGTAGAGAATCAGACTGTAATTTCATTGGTGAAAAGCTAAGATTCTTAAATTTGTTTCTCTTTGAAAGATAATGAAAACCTAAAGAGATAGCTAACTCCTTTTAAAGAATATATTTGTCATATTTTAAGTTGTTTATATTCATGGGCCAATAAAGTCATTTATATTCATGAGCCTGTAAAGTCACATAAAATGATTCTTCCAACTCATCATTTCAATAGGCATAATCTTTAACAAATATGTACCTTTCATGACTGGATATTTGTACTTCTTATTTTTATGAAGTCCCCGTTTCCTCTGTGTTTTATTCATCACAATGTACACTATCTGGTAAAATGCCTTCCCTGATTTATATTCTGATGTCTGACACCCAGACGCCTTGAAACGGAGCTAGTAGCTATGGCACCATCTTTGCATTTATATTTTTCTTTCGCAAGATGGAAATTAGAGGCTTTTTAAAGCAGCTTAATCACGTTTCTCAGCGATACAGGTCAATTCCAGGAGCTGAATGGAAATACGGAGACTCTCAGAGAAAAGATGGAAAAGCCCCGAGAAGCCAACTGAGATGGATAGTAGTGACGGTCACAAGCCAAGCCGTACCTGAGGATTTAACTACTCAGCAGCAACCTTACAATTTCACTGACTTCCCGCTTTGACTGGGCAAATATTTTTTATAAAAATTGCCTCTTCAATTTATTTACTATCCTGCATGCACAAAAATCCTTTGAAATGCTGACATGTGTCTCCCCATGTCCCCTTTCTCTCACAGGAGCCACAGCCCTCCCCCTTCTTCCCCTACACATACTTTTCTTAAACAAACATCCTTGTTTTAAAAAGCAAAGATCTCGGCTCTCCATTTTTGTTTGACTTCCCACACATTGCTGTTAACTGTTCCCCAAACACAGATGGAAGCCAGGCTTGGACTCTTCCATTCATAGCTTTTTCACAAGATCTCTTCCCTTTAAATATTGTGATTTATTATTCTGAAAAGAAATTGTCCCTTTTAGGATGCCCCCCAACACCAGGAATTGTGTTATTTGTGAATCTTGCAAATGACAAAGCATACACCAATGCAATGGTCAATTGCAGGGTTTAAAAAAAAAAAACCTCATAATTTATGTGTCTCTCATTTGGCATCTCCTAAGTAAAAAGAAAGTGTCAAAGATGGAAAGAGACAAAAAATAAGCCCACCAATAATCCCAGATCCAAGAAAAGAAGCATACATGAAGAGGAAGAAAATGATTTCTTCAATTACTTACCTTCCACAATTTCCTTGCTTTGTCTCTGAGCCAAGAAAGGTGTGGCCAGCATCCTGTCAGGTGTGGAATTCTTTCAGAGACAGCTTGGCCTTGTGCATGCAGCCGTGCAGTAAGGATGCTGTACATTCACAATGCCTTCTAAAAACCAAGTAGACTGTTCTTGGGATAGAGGAAGCAGGCTTCCCTTTGTCACACAGAGCAATAATTTTCAACATGAAATCATCCAAAAATCTATTGACCATGATTTGAAAATGATACAGTGCTTTTACATAGAGAAAAAAAAAGGTTTAATCTAAGAGAAGTATATGGTTGAGAGAGAATCCAAAAACTAAAAAACTTCTAAGAACCTTGCACTTTGGATCTGTCATTACTAATTTCACCATCTTCATCGATAAAATAAGGAAGGTAGACTAGAATCATCTGTAGGTTTTCTTCTAATGCTAATATATATTGTCTTTTAATTCTCCAAGTATTTTCTTGCTGCTTAAAAAATTGAGACACCTTTATTTTAAGCATTTTATTACACACAAGCTCCAGCTTTCAAAGATGTAACTAGAAGCTGATTATTCACATTACTAGAAGTTTCTTCCTTCTTTCTTTTCTTCTCTTTTGGAAAAGAACTCCCCAAAGTTGTGATATTTAAAGTAAAAATTGTATTATTTAATTTTTAAACAGCTTTGCAGGGAACATGTTAACATAAGACAATGTACACTGTTGTAAGCCAAGAAATGTTAAATCCTTTAACACTAGAAAACTACATTTCAAAAGAAAGTTTAAATTTATTTTTTCACGTTCGTTTTGTAACTTGTACATAATGGAGTCTTGATTACATACACGCATACACCTCTCTCTTATGTGCGCTCTGTATGTATATTTGGTGATCAACAGCATAATGTAGAGTATGCTCACATGCATGTACACACACCTGAAACCCGACATCCATGTCCGGTGAAACCTGATTGATTCATTTTTCCATCTCTCTATACACAAAGAGATAGATAGGTAGATCTCTACTATATATACAGAATCCTATTCTATAGATCATATATTGAATTTTATATTATTCAATATATGTATAATATATATCTATAGATAAATACATAGCTATGGAGAGATCTCTATTATATATATTTATATATGTGAATTCAATATAGAATATATAGTAGATATATTTATAAGAATTCAATATGTAAAAATAGAGAAATCTACATATCCATATATAATAGAGGTTCTTATATGTATTAGTCCATTTTCACACTGCTATAAAGAAATACCTGAGACTGGGTAATTTAAAAAGGAAAGAGGTGTAATTGACTCACAGTTCCACGTGGCTGGGGAGGCCTCAGGAAATGTACAATCATGGTGGAAGGCAAAGGAGAAGCAAGCACCTTCTTCACATGGTGGCAAGTGAGACAGGAGCGAAGGAGGAACTTTGTGGAGATTACAATTCGAGATGAGATTTGAGTGGGGACACAGAGTCAAGCCATATCACTATATATATATCTTACACATATGTATGAAGAAAATCAATAAAGATTTCAGAGGCTATGGATTCCAACACCTCACTTTCTGAACTAGCTTTCTACACACACACACATACACACTCACTCTCTCTATATATCTCTCTCTCACACACTCACATTCACATGTATCCAGTATTAATACTGTTGTTCACCAAATATTTCTGGATTTCATTCTTCCAGGCATAAGGTAAGGTTGTATTTCCCCACCCCTTTGAAGTTAGATGAGTTCATGTGACTTGGTTGGCCAGTGAACTATGAGCAGAAGTGGAGCGTTTCACACCCAGGTGGAAATTCTGAGAGCCAGTACGCAGCTCATCACATCTCCTTCTTATTGCAGAGGTGACCATGGGGCACATAATGACATGAAGTTTCTTGCGGCTCAGGTTCCTAAGTGATACGGATAAGCAGAGACTCCTGACACCTTGACTTGGGCATGTGGCATCAGCAAGAAATATATATTGTTGGGCAAAATCACTGAGGTATGAGTATTGTTTGTTACCAGAGCATAACCGTATAACCTAGTCCGGGGGCTGGCAAAATTTTTCTGTAAAAGGCCAGACAGTAAATACTTCAGGCTTTGTGGGCCGCATATGATCTCTGTCATATATTCTTTTCTTTTCTCTTCCTCTTTAAAGGTTTATTACCTTACATATATATATATGTGTGTGTATATATATATATGTATACATATATATATGTGTGTGTGTATATATATGTATACATATATATGTGTGTGTGTATATATATACATATATATGTGTGTGTGTGTGTATATATATATATATACCGTTAGTTTCCAGACTGTACAAAAACAGGCTGCGGGCCAGATTTGGCCTGTGTGGCCTAGTTTTCTGATCCCCTGACTTAGCCTATCCTGAGTGCAAAAGGCATTCACCTTCTCTATGTATCAGTTTCCTCAACTGTAAAATTGAATACAGCTTGTAAAATTGAATACAGCTACCTGAAGTACCATCACAGGGTTCCTTGGCAATAAAAAGAAGAAATGAAGATGAAACTTCTGGAAAAGGTAATGTTACATGCGATGCAAAAATGTTATTATTATTTCAATCTAAACAATTGTTCAAAACAATACTTCCAAACAAAAATGGATACAAAGAAACAAATGTTCTCTCTTGTACCCTCTTTATTTCCTGCAGATAACTTATTTCAAATGGGGCTCCTCATGCCATACCCCAATATTTCCCAAGGTGTGTTTTATAGAGCATTGGTCTGTTAACATGCCATCCTCACACACACTAATAGGTTCCTTAGATAAATAAATTTAGGCATTTCTACACACTATGTCCATGGAGTCCTTTTAAACATAATACCTCTCAATATTCAGTGGTGTTGCCATTCAGCAGAATACACTTTGGGCAGCCTTGTTTGTCTCTTTCTTGGTACTGAGCTCCTTGAAGTTAAGTCATTGCTAGTATGATTGGTCAAAGTCTAAACTTTCCCTGCTTCCCAGAGTGCCTGCATTTGTTGAGACTCATGACCCAGTTCTGGGTTTACAACAACTCTGGATGGACAATTTGCGTGGGAGGCTTGTGCTTGAACTCCAGTTCTTGGTGATGATAAAAATTAATTTCACACTATTTTCTGAAACTGCAACAGAGCAAGTTATCCTGGCTTCAAAAGAAACATACTCAGTAGGAAGCACTGGTTGGGAAAGGCAGAGGAAAGATTTCTTGGTGACTTTTGAGTTTTTACCTTTCCGGACCAATTGTTTTGTAAGAATCAAGAAAATCTGCAGTAGCACTCTCTGAAGAACTTCAGGCTTTTAAAAGCAACAAAGTTCCATAGAGACCTTGTCATCTGTTACTTTGGATTGCTTCACTCTCATATGTGATAGTCATCTCTACTTGCTTTGTTATCCAAACCTAATTCAGCATGCAGCCCTAGAATAACAAATGATTTTCATTTAGGACTGCATTAGAATGTTGTAAAACAGCAAATCCAAGAATTGTATGACAATAAAGGAAATGGAATGGAAGCTAAATTAATATCTTTCATACAAATTCCAGAAACACACAGATATACATATGTAGGTATATACAATATTATGATTTAACTGGAAAGAAACTTGAGAAATGTAAATATTAGCTATGCCAGAACAGATATTTGTATTTCAACTTACACAGAATTAAAGAATATTACACACATAATGATTTTGGTGTTTTCCCACAAGATAAAATAAGCAGGAAAAAGTGATAGAGTATAACATATATAAGCTAGTAATAGTCTACTCCATGAATAGAAATGGCCTCCAACTGAAATGGTGTAGAGTTCTTCATGCATTCCTACGCTGCCTGCCCTGAATCATCTAAGTCAAAGTGCCAGAGTAATAGCACTCGCCACTGGATGTCAAAGATTGGAGTTCAAATGGGAATTTTTCAACAAGTAGCAGTGTGACTTCAGGAAATATCTAACTTAAAATATGTGGATAATGATATGCCTGTCCCTGAACTTGTCATGAACATACCTATTAACAATAAGTATAAAAGACATCACATTGTGATAGACGTGTGTTACATTATCACATTGTGATAGACGTGCATTAAATTATGTGCTTAATAAATGTGGATGTTTTTCTGGGTCAGTTCATAGGTCTGAACTAAATTAACAATGATTCAGAATGCACAGATTCTAATTATTCCTTTAAAAGCAGGAGGGCTGTATGGCAGGTGTTTTTATTTATTTTTCTAACTTTTATTTTATTTTAAGTTCCGGGATACATGTGCAGGACGTGCAGGTTTGTTACATAGGTAAACGTGTGACATGGTAGTTTGCTGTATCAACCCATCATCTGGGTATTAAGTCCAGCATGCATTAGGTATTTATCTTGATGCTCCACCTTCCCTACCCCGGCCCCCACCCAACAAACCCAGTGTGTGTCGTTCCCTCCCTGTGTGCATGTGTTCTCATTGTTCAGCTCCCACTTATAAGTGAGAATAGGCAGTGTTTGGTTTTCTGTTCCTGTGTTGGTTTGCTGAGGATAATGGCTTCCAGCTCCATCCATGTCCCTGCAAAGGACATGATGGCTATTGAGTATTCCATGGTGTATATGTACCACATTTTCTTTATTCAGCCTATCATTGATGGGCATTTGGGTTGATTCCATGTCTTTGCTATTGTGAATATTGCTGCAATGAACATGCACAGGTGTGTATCTTTATAATAGAATAATTTATATTCCTTTGGTATAAATGTATACTATTACTGGTATACATCCAGTAATGGGATTGCTGGGTCAAATGGTATTTCAGGTTCTAGGTCTTGGAGGGATTGCCACACTGTCTTCCACAATGGTTAAACTAATTTAAACTAATTATGTTAAACTAATGGTTAAACTAATTCCCACCAACAGTGTAAAAAGCATTCCTATTTCTCCACAGCCTCACCAGTATCTGTTGTTTCTTGACTTTTTAATAATCACCATTCTGATTGGCATGAGATGGTATCTCATTGTGGTTTTGATTTGCATTTCTCTATTTATCAGTGATGTTAAGTTTTTTTTCATATGTTTCTTGGCCGCATAAATGTCTTATTTTGCCCACTTTTTAATGGGGTTGTTTGTTTTTTTCTTATAAATTTGTTTAAGCTCCTAGTAGATTTTGGATATTAGATAGATAGATTGGAATTTTTTTCCCATGGTGTAGGTTTTCTGCTCACTCTGATGATAGTTTCTTTTGCTGTGCAGAAGCTCTTTAGTTTAATTAGATCCCATTTGTCAATTTTTGCTTCTGTTGCAATTGCTTTTGATCTTTTCATCATAAAATCTTTGCCAGTTGCTATGTCCTGAATGGTATTGCCTAGGTTTTCTTCTAGGGTTTTTATAGTTTTGGGTTTTACATATAAGTCTTTAATCCATCTTGAGTTAATTTTTGTATAAGGTGCAAAGAAGGGGTCATATTTCAATTTTCTGCATATGGCTAGCCAGTTCTCTCAGCACCATTTATTGAATAGGGACTCCTTTCCCCATTGCTTTTTTTGGTCAGGTTTGTCAAAGATCAGATGATTGTAGATGTGCAGTCTTATTTCTGAGATCTCTGAGACACATTGGTCTATGTGTCTGTTTTTGTACCCGTCCCATGCTGTTTTGGTTACTGTAGGCTTGTAGTATAGTTTGAAGTCAAGTAGCATGATGCCTCCAGCTTTGTTCTTTTTGCTTAGGTTTGTCTTAGCTATACAAGCTCTTTTTTTGTCCCCTATGAATTTTAAAGTAATTTTCTCTAATTCTGTGAAGAATGTCAACAGTAATTAAATGGGAATAGCATTGAATCTATAAATTACTTTGGGCAGTATGGCCATTTTCACAATATTGATTCTTTCTATCTATGAGCATGGAATGTTTTTCCATTTGTTTGTGTCCTCTCTTATTTCCTTGAGCAGTTATTTGTAGTTCTCCTTGAAGAGGTCCTTCACTTCACTGTTAGCTGTATTCCTAGGTTTTTTAATCTCTTTGTAGCAATTGTGAATGGGAGTTTATTAATGATTTGGTTCTCTGGTTGTCTATTGTTGGTACCATATAGGAATACTTGTGATTTTTGCACATTCGTTTTGTATCCTGAGACTTTGCTGAAGTTGCTTATCAGCTTAAGAAAGTTTTGGGCTGAGATGATGGGGTTTTCTAGATATAGGATCATGTCATCTGCAAACAGACGTTTGACTTCCTCTCTTCTTATTTGAATACTCTTTACTTCTTTCTCTTGTTTAATTGCCCTGGTGAGAACTTTCAATACTATTTTGAATAGGAATGGTGAGAGAGGGCATCTTGTCTTGTGGCAGTTTTCAAGGGGAATGCTTCCAGCTTTTGCTTATTCACTATGATATTGGTTGTGGGTTTGTCATAAATGGCCCTTATTGTTTTGAGGTATGTTCCATCGATATCTAGTTTATTGAGAGTTTTTAACATGAAGGGATGTTGAATTTTATTCAAGGCATTTCCTGTCTATTGAGATAATGATGTGGTTTTTGTCTTTGGTTCTGTTTATGTGATGAATTGTGTTTATTGATTTGTAGATGTTGAACCAGCCTTGCGTCCCAGGAATGAAGCCAACTTGATTCTGGTGGATAAGCTTTTTGATGTGCTGCTGGATTCGGTTTGCCAGTATTTTATTGAGGATTTTTGCATTGATGTTTATCAAGGATATTGGCCTGAAGTTTTCTTTTTTTGTTGTATCTCTGCCAGGTTTTGGTATCAGGATGATGCTGGCCTCATAAAAGGAGTTATGGAGGAGTCCCTCCTTTGTAGTTGTTTGGAATAGTTTCACAAGAAATGCTACCAGCTCCTTTTTGTACTTCTGATGGAATTCAGCTGTAAATCCACCTGGTCCTGGCCTTTGTTTTTCAGTTGGTAGGCTCTTTATTATTGCCTCAACTTCAGAACTTGTTATTGGTCTATTCAGGGATTCAACTTCTTCCTGGTTCAGTCTTGGGAGGGTATATGTGTCCAGGAATTTATCCATTTCTTCTACATTTTCTAGTTTATTTGCATAGAGGTGTTTATAGTATTCTCTGATGGTTGTATTTCTGTGGGGCCAGTAATGATATCCCCTTTACCTTTTGTATTGTGTCTATTTGATTCTTCTCTCTTTTCTTCTTTGTTAGTCTAGTTAGTAGTCTATTTTATTAATTTTTTCAAAAAACCAGCTTTTGGATTCATTGATTTTTTTGAAGGGTTTTTTGTGTTTTAATCTCCTTCAGTTCCACTCTGATCTTGGTTACTTTTTGTCTTCTGCTAGCTTTGGGTCTTGGTTGCCCTTGGTTCTCTAGTTCTTTTAGCTGTGATGTTAGGATGAGAATTTGAGATCTTTCTAGCTTTTTGACGTGGGCATTTAATGCTATAAATTTCCCTCTTAACACTTCTTTAGCTGTATCCCAGAGATTCTGGTACATTTTCTCTTTGTTCTCATTGGTTTCAAAGAATCTCTTGATTTCTGCCTTAATTTCATTAGTTACCCAGGAGTCATTCAGGAGCAGGTTGTTCAATTTTCACATAGTTTTGTGGTTTTGAGTGAGTTTCTTAATCTCGAGTTCTAATTTGATTGCGCTGTGGTCTGAGAGACTGTTATGATTTCAGTTCCTTTGCATTTGCTGAGGAGTGATTTCCTTCCAATTATGCAATCAACTTTAGAGTAAGTGCCATGTGGCATGAAGAGGAACGTGTATATTCTGTTGTTTTGGGGTGGAGAGTCCTGTAGATATCTATCAGGTCCACTTGATCCAGAGCTGAGTTTAAGTCCTGAATATCCTTGTTAATTTTCTGTCTCAATGATCTAATATTGACAGTGGGGTGTTAAAGTCCCCCACTATTATTGTGTGGGAGTCTAAGTCTCTTCATAGGTCTCTAAGAACTTGTTTTATGAATCTGGGTAATTCTTTATTGGGTGCATATATACTCAGGATAGTTAGCTCTTCTTGTCTTGTTGAATGGATCCCTTTACCATTATGTAATGCCCTTCTGCTTCTTTTTTTTTAAATCTTAATTGGTTTAATGTCTGTTTTGTCAGAAACTAGGATTGCAACCTCTGCTTTTTTCTGCTTTCCATTTGCTTGGTAAATTTTCCTCTATTCCTTTTTTTGAGCCTAAATGTGTCTTTGCACGTGAGATGGGTCTCTTGAATACAGCACACCAATGAATCTTGACTCTTTATTCAGCTTGCCATTTTGTGTCTTTTAATTTGGGCATTTAGCCAATTTACATTTAAGGTTAATATTGTTATATGTGAATTTGATCCTGTCATCGTGATATTAGGTGGTTATTTTGCATACTTGATGTATTTGCTTCATAGTGTCATTGGTCTTTGTACTTCAGTGTGTTTTTGCAGTGTCTGGCAACAGTTGTTCCTTTCCATATTTAGTGCTTCCTTCAGGAGCTCTTGCAAGGCAGGCCTGGTGGTGACAAATTCACTTAGCATTTGCTTGTCTGAAAATGATTTTATTTCTCCTTTGCTTATGAAGCTTAGTTAGGCTAGATATGAAATTCTGGGTTGGAAATTCTTTTCTTTAAGAATGTTTAATATTGGCCCCCAATCTCTTCTGGCTTGTAGGGTTTCTGCTGAGAGGTCCACTGTTAGTCTGATGGGCTTCCCTTTGCAGGTGACTTGGCCTTTCTCTCTGGTTGCCCTTAACATTTTTTCCTTCATTTCAACCTTGGAGAATCTGACGATTATGGATCTTGGGGTTGATCTTCTCAAGGAGTACCTTACTGGGGTTCTCTGGATTTTCTGAATTTGAATGTTGGCCGGTCTTGTTAGGTTGGGAAAGTTCTCCTGGGTGATATCCTCAAGTATGTTTTCCAACTTGGCTCCATTCTCCCTGTCTCTTTCATGTACCCCAATCAGTTATAGATTCAGTCTTTTTACATTATCCCATAGTTCTCAGAGGTTTTGTTCATTCCTTTTCATTATTTTTTCTCTAATCTTGTCTGCCTGTCTTATTTCAGCAAGATAGGCTTCAAGCTCTGAAATGCTTTCCTCTGCTTGGTCTATTCAGTTACTTATACTTGTGGTTGCATTGTGAAGTTCTCATGTTGTGTTTTTCAGCTCTATATTGCAGGTTTTGAGCTGTGAAGACAAGTTTCCTAGCTGTGTTTGGATTGCAAATTAACAGAAAGGCAGACCAAAACAAATTTAAACTATGATAAGATGTATTTTTCCCTCAAAAGGAAGTGAAAGGTGGTGTGGTTCCCAGGGCTTATTGATTCAGCAGCTCAAGAAAGTCTCTCTTTCCTCTGTTGTCCACAGAGATAACTTTGTCCCAAAGCTCTTTCTCCAGTGGGAGCAAAAGTAAGTCCTTTCAACCACGGAATAAGTTTCTCCATTGGTTTCTGTTTGGGCCAACTTAGGTCACACATTCCTGAGCAAATGACAGCCAGAAAAACGTTGAGTTCTGATGGGCTTAAGTATTACTTCCTCAGACAATAGTGACAGGGAAAATGGAATGATCACAATTGATTTAGTCAAATCAACTTGAACTTGTGAAGGTACTTATGAACAATATATATGAAAGATCCTACATTGTGATAGATGTGTGTTAAATCATCTGCTGGAATTAGGGTCACCTCTCAAACCACATGCATGCTGCATGTTAGGGGGTCAACTCTAACAGGTTTATCCCTGTAACCAGCTTTTTCCAGAATAGCTATAGTTATTGTTTTTCCTAAGCTTCATTTAGTCATTGTTCCACCTTCAAAGGCCAATAACCCCTTCAATTTTGAGTCAGATATTTATAATGCCATTTAAAAAATTCTGGTCTCTTACTTGTATTATCTAAACTAGACATATAAATTATCCAAGACCACACAAACAGGAAAGAAACATAGCTTAGTTTAAGATAACTCAGGCCATATGAAAGAAGGAATTTTTTTCCTTAGGAATTATATACCAGTACAGTCATGCACCATAATGACCTTTTGGTCAAGGACAGACTGCATATACAATGGTAGTCTAATGAGATAATAATGAAACTAAAAAATTCCTATCATCTAGTGATGTTGTAGCCTTTGTAACATCATAGTGTAACACATTACTCACATATTTGTCCTGATGCTGGTATAAACAAACCTATTGCACTGCCAGTCAAATACAAATACAGGACATTACAATTTTGTACAGTACATAATATTTGATGATGATAATAAATGACTATGTCACTGGTTGATGTATTTACTATACTATACTTATTATTTTGAAGTCTACTCCTTCTACTTATAAAAAAAGGTAACTGTAAAATAGCCTCAGGCATGGCCTTCAAGAGGTATTCCAGAAGAAGACATTGTTATCATAGCAGATGATAGCTTCATTTCTATTACTGCCCCTGAAGGCCTTCCAGTGGGACAAGATATGGAGGTGGAAGATGGTAATATGGATGATCCAGACCCTGTGTAGGCCTAGCCTAATGTGTGTGTGTCTTAGTTTTTATCAAAACAATTTAAAAAGTAAAAAAAAAAAGGTAATAGAAAAATACTTACAGAATAAGGATATAAAGAAAATATTTTTGTACAGCAGTACAATGTATTTGTATTTTAAGCTGTTATTACTAAAGAGTCAAAAAAACTAAAAATTTAGAAGTTCATAAAGTAAAAAAGTTACAGTAACTAATGTTAACTTATTATTTAAGAAAGAAATATATTTTTAAGTAATTTTAGCATAGCCTAAGTGTATAGTGTTTATAAAGTCTAATGTAGCACACAGTAATGTCCTAGGCCTTCATATCCACCCACCACTCACCACAGCAACTTCCAGTCCTGCTAGCTCCATGCATGGTAATTGTCCCACAGAGCTATATCTTTTTTTATCTTTTATACTGTATTATTGTATATCTCTTCTATGTTTAGATAGGTTTAGATGTGCAAATACTTAATTTGTATTACAATTGCCTATAATATTCTGTACAGTAACATGTTGTATAGGTTTGTAGCCTAGGAGCAATATGCTGTACCATCTAGTCTAAGTGTGCAGTAGGCTGTACCATCTAGGCTTGTATAACTATACCCTATGATACAACAATGAAATTGCATAACTACTTATTTCTCAGAAAATTTCCCTGTCATGAAGTGATGCATGACTGTACTGTATTTCCAGACAGGAATGTACATCATCATGTTCTATACATTTGATGTTTAATGTTAATAAATATAAAATGCTTTTGCCATGTAACAATTTTGACCAGATGATATTTTAGGGTAAGAATCATCATGTTTGATTTCTGGTTCTATACATTTCTACGTGTGTGACTTTCAGCAAATGAAAGTCACTGTTCTGTGGCTCACTTTCTCACAATGTAAAAAATGGAGATAAAAATAGTACCTACCTCATAAGGTTGCTGTAAGATTTAAATAACTTAATATACATAAAGTGTACAGTATGTGATAGGCATGTGGAAACACTATAGAAGTATTTGCTATTATTATTATATTCCCATTATGATTTTTTCTTCTTCTTCAAAGTAGTGAGCTACCTATTGAGGATGTGTGAGTATAGACAAGAAAAGTAAAAGTGAAGATATCTCTTTATATGCATTTTCAGGATTATTAAGAATTTTCTTTTAAACAAAATACATTGCATTTTAGAGAACAGTGATAAGATTTGTGGGGAACACATGTCTGGAAAGACATATTTCATGCGAAACAATGGAAACCCAACACTTCATTTTGTATGCTCCACGTGGCTATAAAACTCCTCAGGACCTACTCATGCCAATGCTCAAAGTGTAAGAAAGAATTCTTTCTTAAGTTTGTTTAGATAGAATTTGGGCAAGATTTTAATTGCTAGTTGTTCATGAATTTATTTATTCTAAAACAAAATCTGAACTCTCTTCTACCTATTATATAATAACTATGCCTTTGTGATTGTTATTTTTGGAATATTCTTTAAATTCCAATAATTTTGAAAAGCTATGAGTGGCTTATGGTATTCACCAATAATATAAATTCGGCTGTTATTTAAAAAACTGTTGTTTAAAATAATGGTGAATAGTATTATTCACCAATAATATAAATTCGGCTGTTATTTTAAAAATTGTTTTAACAGCACTGAACTAATTAGTGATCTAGGAATAAACAACTAGGGCATCAGCATAGGCTACTTTGTGTAGTTTGCTAGAAGGTTGAGCTAATGAGGCCAAAGTTACAAATTCTATTTAAGTATGACATGATCTAGTTTGAAAAGTTCTATTCTATAATCGGTCCAATTCCAGGTAGCCCTCTGGGGACTGCGGGCCTTTGAGGACATAAGAGAGAGCCAGCAAGGGTAGAGAGGGTACAGTCTGCACCTAACAACTGTCAGAAAATAATCTAGAGCTGTGCCTTACAGACAGTGTGTCAGTGACATCATGAATAATAACAATCACAACTATTGCAGCTTGTTGAGTACTTACACATGCTAGGCACACTGATAGATGTTTTACAAAGTTTATTTCATTTGATGTCATTTTCCTAACACCACAAGAAACGAAGTATTATCACTCCTTTCCCAAAGATGAAAAACGTGAAACTCGGAGAGTTAAAGAAACTTGCTCAAAATTATAAAGCTAATGATGGGTAGAGCTATAGCACTGCATGTAAGAAATGCTTCTCCGCAGTGAAGGTGGTTGAGAATGAGGCCGCAGGGTGGCTGATCAGAAGTCTTAATGTTGCTTTCCAATATTTTTTGAGCTGCACTATTTAGTTGCAGTTTTCAAATAGCTCCATGAAAAGCAGACAAAAAATTTTAAAAATGCAAAATGATTTCTTGCTGATTATTTTCTTTGGTGGAGGAGGACTGGATTATGATGGTGACTATACTAATATTAATGGATGTTATTGAGGACTTAACCATGAGACAAGCACTGCTGAAGCACATTTAATCCTCCCTACAACCTCAAGTATGGGATAGGTATTATTTTCTTCCTATTTTTCTACAAATGAAATAAATGTAGATAAAAAGCTAAATAATTTCCCCTAAGATCACACAACTATCAAACAAGAGGGCCAGGACTTAACCTCCATATAAGGTCAAAGCCCATGCTCTTACTGAGATATTTTACTGACAAAAATAAACAGCAAAGAAATGTTTACTTAATTTGGTGGATTTGTGATAAAAATTACACCCAACTCCTGATTATTCCATATAAATATATCTTCTCCAGTATAGCTCCAAGAATGATTTGTCAGTGGTTTCATGGCATAATATGTTATACCTATAATGAAAGCCTCTTGTGAAAGCATAAATATTTCCTGGTAGACAAAAAAATGCAAGGAATGGGGGTATACATGTTTCCTCACATATTTTGACTGAGATATAGATTCTCACTTCACTTTTTTTGTTTCATCTAATTGGTGAAAAGCAGTAATTTTGTTGATACTTCCTTAAGGTACCTATGACCTGTATAAAATGCTTACATTTCCTTACTGCTTGTACACATTCAGCCATAAAAACAAAATGGAGAACAATTTAAATTAAATTTCATCAGTTGTTCAAATACATGTCTCTGCTCACACCTTCATGATGAATAGTAGCAGACAAGCAACACAGCTAATAAGTTATTTTAATAGGATGATGTAGCAGTGTGTGAACTGCTAGCTCCTGGGAGCGTGAGTGACAGATTCCAGTTCTCATTACTGTGTAGATTAGTCTCAGAGAATTCATTAGTGCCCAGTGGGGCAGCTCTGTTGAGTGCTCTTAATTTGGAAAAAGAGACAGGAGGCCTATGTGCCCAAGAAACTCTAACGGCAGATATGGAGTTGAAGGCTTTTAGAGCAAGGGACTCTTCTGAGGAGATGGCAATTACTCACTGAGTTTTTCAGGTGACTGGTGACAGCTCTCTTCCCTTTAGTCTGTGTCAGTAGATATAATAGAAATAACAGAGGACTATTGGATTTCACCTCACCTACGAGGAGGCAGGTTTAATGCAGAATGTTTCAAAGTTACAGTATGTCCATATAAATTACAAATAACTTTTTGATTTTGTAGGATGGCAGTGAGCAGAAGTAGCATAGAGAAATGCAATTTATCAATAATCGTGATATCTTATTTTTAGACAATAGTTTTAACCCCTTCCACCAAACCACGAAGCAAGCTTGGTGTTGATTTATTTAAAATCTTATGTGTGCTATTTCTGCCACATCATAACAAACACAAACAGTGTTCTTATTTCTGGGCACTTAAAGGAACCAAAATAGCACTCTTCGTATACTATTAAAAAGCTTCCAAACTTTTTTGACTGAAGCCTGTAGTAAGAAAGATGGTTTACATACAACCAATACCCATATACATGTAGGTATTTATATAAGTGAAACTAAAGTTTTTGTACATATGATGCACTCTTATCTGCGTTATCCTATTTAAATATCTTCCTTTACTCTATTTTATTATGCTGTACTGTTTCTTTTTAGAAATGTTGGTATTTTTAAGATGTTGATTCTCTTTTAAAAAATTATTTAAAAATTGATTCACCAATTATCAAATAAGATCTACAGTTTGAAAAACTGCGTGAAAGAACCCTGTTTCAGAGCAAAAGCCTTTTCATATCAATTTTTGAGAGAATAATAATGTATTTATTGAGAGATTATTATATGCCCCAGGTGCTGTGCCACTGCTTTATGAAGCTTCTTATTGAATTTACTCTTCACAACAATGATGGAAGTAGATATTGTTATTTCTATTTCTTACATAAAGAAAGCCAAGCTCAGAGAGGTAAAGAAAGTTGCTCTAGTACACACAGCTAGAAAGTAGTAAAGTTACAATATTGGCACATAGTAGGCATGTAATAAACATTCATTGAATGAATTTATGAATCAATCAATATTTATTTATTTATTTATTCATTTATTTATTAGAGACATGATCTCACTCTGTTGTCCAGGCTGGATTGCAGTGGCCTGATCCTATCTCACTGATCTCACTGTAGCCTTGAACTCTTGGAATCAAGCAAACCTCCCACTTCATCCTCCAAAGTAGCTGGGACTACATGAACATTCTACCACACCTGGCTAGTTTTCAAAAGTTTGCTCTTAGAGCCATGGGGATTTTGCCCAGGCTGGTCTCAAACTCCAAGCCTCAAGTGATCCTCCTGCCTAGGGCTACCAAAGTGCTGGGATTATAGTTGTGAGTCAACATGCCTAGCCTTAATCAATAATTGAGAATGAGTGCATAAGCCCACTGACTTGGCCATTGGATGTATTGATGGCTAATCCTCATTCTACCCTTTCTTTGGGGACCACAGTCTAAAGTTATAGTATTCAACTATTTTGAAACAAAAATAAATAGTTTTTATGTGAAAACTGAAAAAATTATTTTTTGATTGGGAGGGTGACAAAAATAATATCGATGATGCTAATGATGATCATGGCTAATATGTATTGATTACTCAATATGTGCCAAGCACTACTCTACATGTTTTTACGTGTATCAATACAAAGTAATAGTAGCTATCTCACAAGGTTATCATGAGGATTAAATTGATTTACTCTTTTTAATCAACTCTAATGGGATAGATACTATTATTATCTTCATTTTATGGTTGAGAAGACTGAGGCACGAAGAGGTTGAGGAACTTGCCCAAAGACACACAGTTAATAAAATCCAGTAGTCTGTCTCCAGAGTCTAAATTTTTAACCTTGACCCTTGACTAATCATTGATGATCAGCTATGTGTTTCTATTATCATGAAAGCAAGGTGGATGCTTCCAAAGCAAACACAATAAGAAATGCTAAATGCTTTAATGAAGTGAGCCACCCATTATAAGTCATTTTGCTGTCCTAACATGCTCATAGTTTCCTAACTTCAGAGCATTTTTCTGATGGTTTGGAGCTAGTTTATATTACTCAGCACAAATATTGAAAATAATGATTTCAGAGTATTTTAAATTTTCATGTTTCTGTAGTTTATATAGTGCTAAATGTATCTGAAAAAATTAGTCGATTTTATTTTTAATAAAATAAAATTTAAAAAAATCTGAGCAGCTAATAGCAGTACATTTTGCTAAGATAACATCAATGAGACCAAAAAAAGACAGTCTACAGTAGGAACATGAGTGTCTTAGTGGTGGAGAAAGCTGTGGTGGGATCATTTCATTGACAGAATTTAAGGGATTGACACCAGAGCTTGAAGAGGAAGTCAAAAGTAAGCCAAGAGCCAGGTTTACAAGCTGATCACAGTGTTACCCAGAGGATAGGAGTGGATTGCAGTCTGTTATGCTACTCTGTAATGAGAACTTTACCCTTTCCTTCCCAGGGACCAAAGAAATGATACTTTGTCCCTTTGATGTTTGATGTCCTAAATTATTTGAAGCCTCCCATGTAAATACAGTGCATAAAATTAGTTGGTTTTTTGTTTTTGGTTTTGGTTTATTTTTTAGCAGAGAAGGCCAGTGCTCACAAATTCACCATGATTGTCCTTTTTTCCACATTTCCTAACCTCTTAACATTCTGACTAATGATTTGTTGGCAGAAGCCATGTGCCTGGCCTCTAACAGCCTCTCTTGAGATCCTCTATTCTCTCTCTCTTTTTTCATCTACCTGCTAGATGATAATAAAAAGCCTTGTGTTGAAAATGGAAGTAAACTAGGTTCTCTAATGAATTGATGGGGGCAGGGCCCCCTTGACAAGCTGCATCAGACAGGAACAAGAGCAAGAAGTAAGATTTCATCACATTAGGCCACTGAGATTTTTACAGCAAAGAAAACTCCCCTCAAACAAAGCTTTTTATAGCAGCTGCAACGACTTACCCTGACTAAAACAGTGCTGGAGTCTCAACACTGGTGCAAATGCTTTACTGAAATAAAAGGTGGTGGTTGGTGTTTAGTGATGTAAATTGAGAAAATGTGTGTATGATTTGCACACGTGGCTTCCTCTGCAAAAGCCAGGCTGATTTTAAGAGCTATGACTGTTCCCAGCAACCACTCTGGCAGAGCAGAACATGCAGTCAGACCAGGAACTAACAAACCTGTTGCCCTCCCCTCAAACATAAGAAGGACCTGGGACTCCTCAAGGGCTCACATCGTGGGATCTAGGTAAAGTCCCTGAGTTTAAATTCTGCCTTTCACTCTCAGTTGCTGTGTCACTTAGCAATTTGATTAAAAGATGTGCCCATCTTTCTTACCTGTTAAGTCAGGAAGTAGTACCTAGAGTTATTTTGAGGATTAAAAAGTTTATCAATATAAAGCACTTAAAACAATGTCTGGCATAGGGTACATGCTCAGTCTATGTTAGCTATTTGTATTGTTATCATTAGCATTTGTATCATAATACTTGAGTCATTCCCCTTCCCTTTCCTGGAGTGCTAAGATTTATAACTCTTAGCTATTTTCTAGGCGAGGGGCACGCTCTCCTTTTTCCCCATTGTGTAGGGATGCTGGAGGCAGTAATAAGGATTTTCTTTGCGACAATCCTTTTTTTGGAGTTTGTACTTGTATTTTCTGAGTTTTCACTCAGTCAGTGGGAAAGAATATTCTCTTGTTTTTACCTTCAGATGTACAAGAAAGAAAACTTCCAAATTTAAATTAGTACTAAAACATTCACGAGGCAACAATAACCTGGAGATGAGGTCTTCTTTTCCCACAGCTGAGAGAGCATGTTTCCAAGGCATGAATCTGAACCCCAGCTCTCTATTGCCTAAGCCTACCCAGGCTTTGCCGTATATTTCAATGTGGCTGAGTTATAATTGGAAAGTCCAGGTCAGCATTCATTGCACAAATGGGTAACTCCATCATGAGCTAAGATTTCAGTTGAGTGGTGGAATTTATACTGAATTTTTCACACAAAAATATGCTTAATGTCTTTTTTTCTTCCAAATTTGGCAACGGTTAATATATAATGCGGAGAAGGACATTTTTGCCTTTCTCTTTCATAGGACACTTCATCATGGTGGCAGCTAGATCCTCTTGTGAAGGCAAGAATGTAATTATCTGCCAGAGTTTATCAGCTCTATTTCTCTCCATTTCAAAAGCCTGTTGACTATCCATAAGTTTTTAAAGAGAACAAATGAGGCAGGAGCAGAGACTGTGAATGTGGCTGAAGGTAATATGGTAATGACAAAGGAGAACTTGTCAATACTGGTTTGATGATAATAGCTCAGAGTTGCCCAAACACCAATCTGCACTGTCTTCATTGCTCAGAAGAAAAAGAAAAAAAAAGTGCTTATCTAATTTTTAAGGCTTAAGTATGCATCAATATCTATTTGCTTTTTTTTTTATTATACTTTAAGTTTTAGGGTACATGTGCACAATGTGCAGGTTTGTTACATATGTATACATGTGCCATGTTGATGTGCTGTACCCAGTAACTCGTCATTTAACATTAGGTATATCTCCAAATGCTATCCCTCCCCCCTCCCCCCACCCCACAACAGGCCCAGGTGTGTGATGTTCCCCTTCCTGTGTCCATGTGTTCTCATTGTTCAGTTCCCACCTATGAGTGAGAACATGCGGTGTTTGGTTTTTTGTCTTTGCGATAGTTTACTGAGAATGATGGTTTCCAGCTCATCCATGTCCCTACAAAGGACATGAACTCACCATTTTTTATGGCTGCATAGTATTCCAGGGTGTATATGTGCCACATTTTCTTAATCCAGTCTATCATTGTTGGACATTTGGGTTGGTTCCAATTCTTTGCTATTGTGAATAGTGCCGCAATAAACATACTTGTGCATGTGTCTTTATAGCAGCATGATTTATAATCCTTTGGGTATATACCCAGTAATGGAATGGCTGGGTCAAATGGTATTTCTAGTTCTAGATCCCTGAGGAATCGCCTCACTGACTTCCACAATGGTTGAACTAGTTTACAGTCCCACCAACAGTGTAAAAGTGTTCCTATGTCTCCACATCCTCTCCAGCACCTGTTCTTTCCTGACTTCTTAATGATCGCCATTCTAACTGGTGTGAGATGGTATCTCATTGCGGTTTTGATTTGCATTTCTCTGATGGCCAGTGTTGATGAGCATTTTTTCATGTGTCTTTTGGCTGCATAAATGTCTTCTTTTGAGAAGTGTCTGTTCATATCCTTTGCCCACTTTTTGATGGGGTTGTTTGTTTTTTTCTTGTAAATTTGTTGGAGTTCATTGTAGATTCTGGATATTAGCCCTTTGTCAGATGAGTAGATTGCAAAAATTTTCTCCCATTCTATAGGTTGCCTGTTCACTCTGATGGTAGTTTCTTTTGCTGTGCAGAAGCTCTTTAGTTTAATTAGATCCCATTTGTCAATTTTGGCTTTTGTTGCCATTGCTTTTGGTGTTTTAGACATGAAGTCCTTGCCCATGCCTATGTCCTGAATGGTATTGCCTAGGTTTTCTTCTAGGGTTTTTATGGTTTTAGGTCTAACATTTAAGTCTTTAATCCATCTTGAGTTAATTTTTATATAAGGTGTAAGGAAGGGATCCAGTTTCAGCTTTCTACATATGGCTAGCCAGTTTTCCCAGCACCATTTATTAAATAGGGAATCCTTTCCCCATTTCTTGTTTTTGTCAGGTTTGTCAAAGATCAGATGGTTGTAGATATGCGGCATTATTTCTGAGGGCTCTGTTCTGTTCCATTGGTCTATATCTCTGTTTTGGTACCAGTACCATGCTGTTTTGGTTACTGTAGCCTTGTAGTATAGTTTGAAGTCAGGTAGCATGATGCCTCCAGCTTTGTTCTTTTGGCTTAGGATTGACTTGGCGATGCGGGCTCTTTTTTGGTTCCATATGAACTTTAAAGTAGTTTTTTCCAATTCTGTGAAGAAAGTCATTGGTAGCTTGATGGGGATGGCATTGTTGATACATTTTATTAGCAAATAATAAACAATGTGTATGTAAACATTAAAAAGAAACTTTGTGACCAGAAAAATTATCTTTAATGAGAGGGGAAGAAATATTTTTACCTGTGAACAAACAGCTCAGTGTTTCTCTCTTTTTTCTTTTTCTTTCTTTTTTTTTTCAGTGAAGAGCCTGGACAGATGATACAGAAAAATGAGCAATTGTAAGAGAGTGAATACTAGAAAGTAAAGTCAAATCAAAACATATACCTTACAAAGCTTAAAAAAAGCAGTCTTCTCTCTACTTAATTTTTCTATCTAGTTTTCTGTTGACACAATTAGATATACTGAATCAAATTATTCAAAGATTTCTTTTACATGGCTTGAAAGTTCTAATTGTACCAACATCAGATTCACAAAATACATTAGATTTTTTTTCATTCTTCTTGGCTGCCAAGTATCTGAACTCCCGTCATATATTTGGCACCTTCTCCCATTAGAGAAACTGGAAAAATGCCTGATGCTTCTCTTCCCAGCTTCTCTTAAAACTAAGCATAGGCACATTACCTGGCCTCTACTAATCATAGGACACACCCCCTGTTTTCAATAGAGGGCCATTGACACAAGGAAGTAAAGTCTCAGATAAATATTTCTAGAGTCAGTGACAATTGCAATAAGATCCCATTTCCAAGGCAGTGGTGGCCACAATCCCTGTAAAAGAATCTCATGTCCTGTGCCAGTCATGTTGACAGTTCAAGCAGCAGTAGTAGTGACATACGGTAGGTAGGCCCTCTGTGTCTGTGAGTTCCACATTCATGATTTAACTACTCTCAGAAAATATTTGGGGGGAAAAGTTGCATCTGTATTGAACATGTACAGACTTTTTTCTTGTTAACATTCTCTAAACAATATAGTACAACTATTTCCATAGCATTTACATTGAATTAGATATCATAAGTAATCTAGAGATAATTTAAAGTATATGGAAGGATGTGCATAGCTTAAATGTAAATATTATGCCATTTTATATCAGGGTCTGAAGCATCTGTGGATTTTAAAGAGGGAGGTCTTGGAACCAATCTCCCAAACCCCCACAGATACTGAGGGAGGACTGTACCAGGCAGGTCAGTTTCACTGTATCATTTGGGACATTACTTATGGCTGTGTGGCCCTTGAGTCTGATACTCCTGTGAACTCAAGAATTCAATTAACTTCCCAATATCCTTCCTTTTTTCTTTTTTACTTTTTCCTTTAAATAATTTTAGATTTATAGAACAGTTGCAAAAATTGTACAGAGAGCTTCCATATACCCTTCACCCAGCTCCCTTTATCCTTAACATCTTGCATAACTATGGTACATTTATCAAAACTAAGAAATTAACATTGGTACTAAACTCTCTTCAAGTTTCCCCAGTTTTCCCACTAACGTCTTTTTCTGTTCTGGTATCCAGTTCATGATAACACATGAGGTTTACTTGTTATGTCTCTTCAGTGTATTCCAGTCTGTGACAATTTCTTGGTCTTTCCTTATCTTTCATCACAGTAACACTATGTGGTCAAGTATTTTGCAAAATGTCCCTCTATTTGGGTTTGTCTGGTATTTTCATGATTAGACTGAGGTTATGGGTTTGGGGGAAGAAAATTCTATGGAGAAGTGATGTGCCCTTCTCAGTACATCATATCAAAAAGCACATGGTTTTGATATGTTTCATTCCTGGTGGTGTTAACCAAGATCTGTTGGTTAACCTGGTGTCTGACAAGTTTCTTGAATGTAAAATTACTTTTTTTCCTTTTCCCTATTCTATTCATTAGAAGCAAGTCACTAAGTTCAGCTCACATATAAAAGGAGAGAAATTAAACTCCACATCCTTGATTTGTGGACATATTTTTAAACTACCACGATAATTAATACATATTTTGAGGGAAATACTTTGAGGCCAAACATCCTGTTTTACCTTAACATTTCACTCACGAATTTTTACATTTGTCCCTAGATCTTGCCTGCAGCAAATATTACTGTGGGTTCTAATGATGATTTTCTATTTCCTTAATTCCTTCTATATTTATTAACTGGAATTATTCCAAAATGAATATTTGTCTAATCTCACTCGTCTGTTTATTTGTTTATTTAATCATTTATTTCTACGTGTCTGGACTCATGGATATTATCTATTCTGTGGTTTATAATCCAATAAAGTTATTTATTTAGTTGCTCAAATTCTTTTTTTTTTTTTTTTTTTGAGATGCAGTTTTGCTCTTGTTGCCCACGCTGGAGTGCAATGGCGTGATCTTGGCTCACCGCAACCTCCGCCTCCCGGGTTCAAGCAATTCTCCCTCCTCAACCTCCCGAGTAGCTGGGATTATAGGCATGTGCCATGACCCTTGGCTAATTTTGTATTTTTAGTAGAGACAGGGTTTCTCCATGTTGGTCAGGCTGGTCCCAAACTCCCGACCTCAGGTGCTCCACCTGCCTCGGCCTCCCAAAGTGCTGGGATTACAGGTGTGAGCCACCATACCCAGCCTCAAATTTCTTATAGCTTAGCTATTGGTAGCTCTTTCAGGTTGTCTCTTATATACTTTTGACATGCCAGCATACTGGTATAAAACACTTATTATTACAGTAATGTGCTGCATAATGATGTTTCAGTCAGCAATAGACCACATATGCGACAGTGACCCCATAAGATTATAATGGAGCTGAAAATTCCTATCACCTGGTGATGTTGTAGCCATCATGACGTTGTAGGGCAATGCATTACTCACATGTTTGCAGTGATACTGGTGTAAACAAACCAACATATACTATAGCACATACAATTATATAAGGTATATAATAATAACAAACAACTATGTTAGTGGTTTATGTATTTACTATTTATACTGTACTTTTAATCTTATTTTAGAATTTATTCCTTCAACTCACACACAAAAAAGTTAACTGTAAAAGATCCTCAGATGGGTCCTTCAGGAGGTATTCCAGAAGGCATGGTTATCATGGAAGATGACAGCTCCATGTATGTTATTGCCCCTGAAGACCTTCCAGTGGGCAAAGATGTGGAGGTAGAAGATGATCTTGACCCTGTGTAGGCTTAGGCTATTGTCTGTGTCTTAGTTTATGTCAAAAATGTTAAAAAAGGTTAAAAAAAAACAATAAAAACCTAAGTAGAAAAAAGCTTATCGAATAAGGACATATATAAAGAAAATATTTTTGTACAGATATACAACATGTTTGTTTTTTAAGCTGTGTTATTACAAAAGAGTCAGAGAGTTAAAAAAAAAGAAAATTTTATAGTTTATAAAGTTTCAGTAAGCTAAGGTGAATTTATTATTAAAGAAAAAATACGTTGAATAAATTAAAGGTAGCCTAAGTATACAGTGTTTATAAAGTAATTCTACAGTTGCACAGAGTAATGTCTTAGGCCTTCATATTCATTCATTGACTCACTCACAGCAACTCTTGGTCCTGCAAGTTCCTAGGTAAATGCCCTATATAGGTATACCATTAAAAAAAAAATTATTTATGCCGGGTGCAGTGGCTCACGCTTGTAATCCCAGCACTTTGGGAGGCCGAGGTGGGCAGATCACTTGAGGCCAGGAGTTTGAGACCAGCCTGGCCAACATGATGAAACCCCGTCTTTACTAAAAATACAAAAATTAGCCTGGCTTGTTGGGCTCACGCCTGTAGTCCCAGCTATTTGGGAGGCTGAGGCAGGAGAATCGCTAGAACCTGGGAGGTGGAGGTTGCTGTGAGCCGAGATTGTGTCACTGCACTCCAGCCTGGGTGACAGAGTGAGACTCCATCTCAAAAAAATAAATAAATACATAAATCATTTATACTGTATTATCACTGTATCTTTTCTATGTTTAGATATGTTTAGATGCACAAATACTTAATACTCTATTACAATTGCCTACAGTATTTAGTATGGCCACATGCTGTACAGGTATATAGCCTAGCAGCAATAGGCCATACCACATAGCTTAGGTATGTGGTAGGCTATACCATCTAGGTTTATATAGGTACATCCTACGATGTTTACACAATGACAACATTGCCTAATGGTGCATTTCTCAGAGCATATCCTTGTTGTTAAGCATGACTATTTCCTTATGTTCTGATGCTACAAGATGCTCCAGGCTCATCATGTATCTTTCCTCCCACAGTCGTAGAATCAGCAATTTCTTCAAGGAATCCTAATTGATTTTACTAGAGAATGGTATTTAGAAATCAATGAGCTTGAAGTGCTTGTTTCTATTTATGTTTCGCTATTTCTAGGCCCTCTCAGAAAAAATATCTAGGAAATACATTTATTTCTGTATATATATATACATATATACACACACACACAGAAAAAATATATATTTATATGCATATCTGTGTGTATATAAACACCTGTATAAATGTATATATTTCTGTATCTCTTTGCCTATATGGATGCAAACATATATTTTAATTTATATGCTTTATATCTATATAGTCTATTTAAATAAACAAGAGTTTATTCTGATGTCTCTGACTCTAATCAGTATAACAGATTTCATTCTAGCCTTTGCTCTTTTATTTGTAGATTCCTTCTCTAACAGTGAGAAAAGTGGCTCTCGGCATCACAATGTATTTATATACACTAAGGACTTCTAAACTGTACCCCATGAGAAATAAATTTACCAACTAACATCAAGTTTTGACACAGAGTTTCCTTTATATTTAACCTTACAGTATCAGTCAAAACATTTTGTTAAAATTACTTAGGTCAGCTCTTTCTTCCCTATACCCTTCAATGAAGTTATCTGATACAATTCATTTGTAGTATAGTTAATGTCAGATTTCATATCCTGGGTTTTCCCACATCCTAGTTAATATGTTTTGCATTTGCATACAGGTTGACACTGTACAGCTCTGAGTTTTGATGAATACATTGAGTCACGGAGCCAACACCACAGGTACCATACAGAACAATTCCATCCTAAGATGCCCCTGTGCTGCCACTTTGCAGTGAATTTCCCCATCCCTCCGTTCAGAACCCCTGGAGACCATTGACCTATTTTCTGTTCCTTTAGTTTTACATTTTCCACAATGACATATGAATGGAATCATTCTCTGTGTAGTCTTTTGTGTCTGGCTCTTTCATTTAACAAAATGCAATTAAGATTCATACATGCCGTTGTGTGAATCATTAGTGAATCGATTGGTTACACAAAAATCCTACTTTTCAATGTCAACTTATCTCATGTTTTCTTCTGAAGCTCTGGAGTAAAGAAGCTTTTTAGATGCTCAGTATTAAAAAATACAGTATTCATTCACTTATGTATTAAACTCCTCCTTTATGCCAGGCACACTGTGATAAGCACTGGGAATTCATCAGTAAACAAGAAGGACGAGGTCTCCTCCCTCACAGACCTTCTAATATATTGTGATAACTGCATTGGGAGAGCAAAAATATTCGTAAACATGTAAGTGTGATGATTAATTCTATGTGTCAACCTGATTGGCCAGAAGGTGCCTAGATTAAACAGCATTTTAATTATGTTAAAGACGAAATGAGCCTCTGAACCAGTGGGCTCCGTAAAGTAGGTTGCCCTCCCTAGTGTGCATGGGGATCATCAAATCTGTTAAGGTTCTGAATAGAACAAAAGGCGAGGGAAGGAGAAATCCATTCCCTTTTTCCCGCCTCATTGCATGAGCTGGGACATCTGAACTTATCCTTCCCTGCTCTCATCCTGGGATTTACATCATGGGCTCCCGTGGGCTCAGGCCTTCGGACTCTGAATGGTTATACTGCTGGCTTTCCTGGGTCTTCAGCTTGTAGGCAGCAGATTGTGGGACTTCTCAGCCCTCCTAATCTCATGAAATTTCTCAATTCATTTCTCATGAATTTTCTCAAGAAAATTTCTTTTGGTTCTCTTTCTTTGGAGAACTCTAATACAAGAAGCATATTGAAGAGCTACCTCACCCAGTCAGGGCCCATGCAGTCTTCCCAAAGAAAGTGACAACTTGGCTGAAAGATGAAGAAAGAGTAAAAAGTAGGAGTGAGAGAGAAGTCACATAGAATAGTTAAAGTGGAAATGGTTCCAGGCCATAGAAATTGTACTTTCAAAGGCCTCCTAGCACATGAGGAAATGAGTCCATGTAGAGAAACTGAGAAATGAAATGAGAAGAAGGAATGAAGTGGAAAACAGCAGGGGCCACTCACGAATAATTACACAAGTCATGGGAAAGTATTTGGACTTTATCCTAAGAGGAAACTGCCCATCAAGGCCTGAGTGTCTCAGCACCCTTTGCCTCACACACTGAGACCATATCACTTCTCATGTATCTCCCAATATTTTAGGATGAACTCCGTGTAAGTGAAATGGTACATTTTGGAGAACACGGTAATTTTCTATTTTGGGGTTGGAGTGAATATAGGAAGTCACTTCAAAACTTGGCTTTACTTATGTAGACTCAATACTAGCTTATCCCAAGTAAAGAGATGATCATGTGTTTGGGTCCAGATTGGAAACATGTTTTTCCTTGTGAAGAAATAAATAAATAAATAAATAACATGATGACAAACGGTAAAATTCTGAATAGGATTAGTGAATTAATTGTGCTTCTAATAACAAAGAGTGGCTCAAAGAGCTGGCCTATTTAGTAGACTTTTCTCCGAAGTCAGTTGACAACTCCACGGCTGAACTACGAATGTTTCACTATGCGATGGGAACGCTGCAACTGTGAATGAAGTTTGAGTATTGGATGCAGAGAGTTGATCTCATTGCTTCCTGTGAAATGTTTGCCTCTCTTCTTTTACTGGACAGTAATTAACAGTATTAATGATTTAAAAGGGAAAAAAAAGCATCAGCCATATCTTTCTTCCCTGAAAATGTTGTTTGATGAATATTTCCCTCCTTCAATAAAACAACCTGATTGGAGGTCCATTGAGTATGTTAAATAAAGAAGCAATTGGGCTGGTAAATAAAAAGATACAGTTAGTAAAATATAAAATTTATATTAGAAATAGTATTTAAAAAATGTTAAAAATGTGAAAACGTTGTACCTGTTGGCAGTAATCTAGCCAGCCATCTTTCCTTAGCATTGCCATTGGTAATTCCTTATTGCTGTGAATCCAGATGCTTAAAATATTGTGACACCAAGATAGGAAAAAAAAAAAAAATGTTGAACCTAGCATGTAAACCTCTCCCCTCCCACCCCACCTTTCCTGCTGACCTATAACATCATGTATACCAACATCATTTAAAGCTCCACACAGGGTATGATTCATACCCACATTTTACAAATGAGGAAAATAAGGCCTACAAAAGTTAAATACTCAACTAAGGTTACATCTGAGAAGTGGTCAAGCACTTGGATGAACTAGATCTACTTGATTCCAATGTCTGTAGTCTCATCCATTTTACATTACTTCCTCATCATCCCTAGTATCAGCAAAATTTTCTGAATTTTATTGCTTCAAAATCCAAGCACCTTATCCAAAAACAAATTGATTAGTTAGTATTTTTTTTGTAATGGTAATTTAAAATATTATCTTTATTTTCTTGTTTGTTTAACACAAAAAGAGCAAACTTTCCATCCGGAAAGTTTATATTAATTTTGGTAATTTTAAACAAATTTTTGAATGTTTAAATAAATCTTATGGTTGCTCTGGGCTTCTGTGGGTATACATTTACTGTCCTTAGATGTAATCTAATCATGAAGCTTGAAACATGTCACAGAACTGCGTGCTATTTCATTTTTCCTTATGCAGATAAAATGCTTTTTATAAAAAGTGTTGTTTTAATTGAAAAAATATTATACACTTATGGAAAACATCTAAATATTACAGAAGATTACAAAGTGGGTAAAAAGTACACATTTTTTATAGCGCACAATAAGATAGGTAAATGGATTAATGCATACTCATGTGAAATTTGCTGTTTTCTTTTCAATCTTGGAATTTCATCCATCAATCTTTTTAATAACTGGGTAGCAATCCAGTACACATTCATAATTTGCTTAACCAGGCCTCTACTGAGTTGAATTGAGATTATTTCTAGTTTTTTGTTATTATGAAAAAAATGCAGTAGTTAAATCCTTATACCTACTTCTCATTTGTGAAAATGTATTTACAGGATAAATTCCTATGTACTATGTAGAAAAAGCATAATATTATTGAGCAATTTCTACACACTATATTAATAAAAACATTTAACCTGTTAGTAGAAAATTTAATGCTTCATGAAAGCCATTCTCTGGAAGTAGTAAAATATAGTTTTTCTTTTCTTTATAGCTATAGTTCATGACTGAACTTAAAGACCATAATAAAGTTACCATGAAACCACAGTGTGTCGAGACAGAGAGCATAGTTGGTTTTTAAAAAAATGTATTTTCTGGAGCCAGGATGACTTAACTTTTAACTTCAGCTTCATCATTTATTAGCTGTGTGACCTTGAGCACATTAGTACTATTCTCTTAGCCAGAGTTTCTCACATGAGATAGCCTAACCATTACCTTTTATAGGGGTAATAGGATCATTGGTATAAGAGAATGCATATAAAGCACTTACCATAATGCCTGGCACATGAAAAGCAGGAAATAAACATTTATTATTATTATATTATATATCTATTAGCTCTATGACTTTTTGGTATGGGTGACATTACTTTTAGTATTCAAATCTCCACAAGCTAATATATTATTACTATTTAATTCATTCATTTATTCAACAATATTTATTGACCACTATTATGTACTATGCACTGCTCTAGTGTTGGGGATACAATAATCCTGTAGAAACATGACTCCTGCTTAACAGCCGTCAAAGTTCTATAGAAATCAGAATGTGTTAGTGTATTTTAACTTCAAAAATAACATTAGTCAATACCATTTGAAGCAGAATTTAGGACATTTCATTATAACTCCAAAGGTTTGTTGTGAATTTAAGTTGATTTTGATACTTTTCTAAAAATGAAAAATGACTCCACAGTTTTGTGGGTCAATGGCTAGTGGGAATTCTTTTTACAGCTGCCTTGTGTCATTTATCTTAATCAGACACTAAATAAGCCATTTTCTTAGTTATTTAGAAGATCATTGTGTCTTTTATATCTTGGCCCCTGGATTGCCAAAGAATATAGCTTAACCTTTATTTTTATCTATCCAGGTGGAAAAATATATAACAGGGTCTCTAAGTCCTAGACGTCAATTCACCTGTTTTAAAAAATATCAGTTGAACAAAAATATTAAACAATAACAATTGCAGTAAAAGGGAACTTAAAATAAATGTATATTTCACAAGAAATATGCAAAATATTTTCAAATATTCAATAATTTAGAATCAAATAGGATATACTTTTCAGTATATTGCTAACCCCTCTGTAGGTATATGTGTTATTATGCAAATATATACAAACAACAAATATTTATATCCATGTCTATATCCATATCCACACACAATATACATACAACATCAGCAGTAGTATTTATTGGGTAAGTAGCAGTCTTCTTATTGTTATTTAAGTTTGTGTGCATAGTTTGAAAATGTTAGTGAGGGATCAAAGCCTGCCCAGAATGATGTCATAACAAGGTAATATGGAATCTGATTATGTGAAAAGCTGGATATTTACACAAAGAGGTCAGAAACCAGCTGGCTACATATAAACTAAGGAAAAACCAACAAACATCCTGAGAAAGTTCTTACTCTTGAGCTGCTGTGGACTTGCAAGCTTAGCACAATTTTTAAAGACCCAGATACTGAGAATGTTTTCTATGTCAGCACTGTTTCACTCAAAAATTTCATGTGGCTTGCTACCCAAATTATCCTGGAGGCACTAAGAAAATATGTTTATTTTTTCTTCACTTGATATTTTTTAAAAATTATGTTTTAAAAAACTGTAGCAACATTCTCTGTCTCTAGGATTCAGCAAAAACACTCAGATTGAATAAAACAACTGTGGATCATTTTTATATGTGTTTTATTTTTATTCTGAAGATCTGAGAATTTGTTCAAATTGGGTTTGGGGAAGAAATTCAATTAACTTGTCTGGACTATTGCTAATACTGGAAGAAACAGTTACCTGAAAAGTCTGCTTTGTGATTGTCTGTCTTCCTCCTTCTCTTCCTCCCTTGCTGCTTCCTTCCTGCTTTCCTGCCTTTCTTCTTTCCTTCTTTTTCTGTTCTCTCCTTTATCTTCTTCCTGTTTCCCCCTTTTCTTTCTCCCCATTTTCTTATTTTTTTTATAACTCTAAAATTACAACCAATATCATTAATGATTGCCTGGTGACAGAGCAAGACTCCATCTAAAAAAAAAAAAAAAGAAAAGAAAAGAAAGAAAATAATATCACTTATAGTGCAAAAACCATTACTAAATTGTCAAAACAACTTTTATCTTCGGCAACTATATTCACTCCTGCAAAAAACTGACAATGTATTCCAAACTGAGAAAATGAGTTATGGGAAGGAAAAAGGGAGCTAGAAATGTGACATTTTAGATTTCTTTCTTAAAAACAGAGAAGACCCCAAAATGAGAAAAGATGGGGAATGATGTGCTAAAGTAAGTATGTTCAAACCTCATAACAGGAATGGAAATAGGCTAGTGCTGTAATTCTAACCTTAGATTGAAGATAAGACTTGTTAAGTATTTTGATGGAAATATAAGTAACTTACTTTTATTTTACAATGCCCTTATTAATTTTTCTGTGTTTTGTTGTTTAGTAATGCTGGATTGCCAAGATTCTTACCATACCATCTAATTTGGGGGGTGGGGGCGGTGTTGAAAAGCACTCCGTGTTGGTATATGGTGCCATTCTTGTTAGAATGGTTAAATACCACAAAAGAAGTCCAAGACAAGTATCACTCAGGAACTTGCTGATAGTGATGTACATTAGCTTATTGATAGACTTTAGTATCTGGTAGAATCAAAAAGTTTCACCGAGGAACAGAGGCATTTTGATGTTTAAAGTGAAATTCCTTTTCTAAACATTTGGTTTTAATAATATTAGAGATTATTATCTAGTTTAACTTGTCTTTTTGCCACATTTATGGATGCTTCATCTGGCCAATCATTTAAATAAGGGAAAAATTGTTAATGATCCCCTTTCAGCACAAGACAGTGTCGTGACAGACTATAGCTTCAAGAACCAAAAGGACATGCACAAATAGTCATAAAACAATAATGATGTAATGACCCACTTGTTTGTCACTGTGACTCAGGGTACCCAGTCTGGGTCAAGATAAAAGAATTGCAACACAAAGCTAAAATGTCAGTGTACACTTGGGCTGGGAAATTCTGTCTAAAGCAATTAATCCCCCCACCCCATCCTAACCGGCTCCTCCTCCTGCCATGTCCACCTCTGCTTTGCAGGTTTTTGAAGTTAAATAAATTTGTGAAACAAAATTGTTCTTTGAAGACAGCTAGCTTTTTCACTTTGTGTGCTAGAGGGCTACCTAGCTTTTGCTTCTTCGTCCCTGGACTAGACAGAAGACCCGACTGTCCCAGAGGAATCAAACACCACACAAAGGTCCCCTAGAGGGTGGTGAGTCTTGAATTTCTCAGGAGAATGTAATTGCTTCTTTGGCAAATACAGGTTTCCCATATATAAGTCATTCACTCATTGTAAGTCCCAATAGAAGTTTTGTTTTGTATTTTTAAAAGTGGAAACAGCTTCATTTTTTATAATTATAAAAATATTTTATGCCTACTGTACAAATCTCAGAGAATTTAGAAAGTTAAGAAGTTTCAATTGTAGTGTTGCTAGTTATTATGACCATTTTTTTGTATACTCTTCTATACTTGTTTTGTTTTCCTATTTATAATACTTTTTTAAATCATACTTTAAGTTTTAGGGTACATGTGCACAACGTGCAGGTTAGTTACATATGTATACATGTGCCATGTTGGTGTGCTGCACCCAGTAACTCGTCATTTAACATTAGGTATATCTCCAAATGCTATCCCTCCCCCCTCCCCCCATGGGCATTCAAAGTCACAGACTTTGAGTTGTTGTTTATCAAAATACATATTTTATTGTGCTAAAAACACATAACATACAATCTACCATCTTAATCTTAAGTGTACAGTTCAGCAATGTTGTTTATTCACAGTGTTGTGAAATAGATTTCCAGAATTTTTTTCTCTTGTAGAACTGAAACTTTATACCGATTAAACAACTCTCTTTTTTCTCTCCCCCCATTTTAGCCAACTTTCTATTTTTTGTTTATATAAATTTGACTACTCTAGATACCTCGTGTAAGTGAAATCATTCAGTATTTGTCTTTTTGTGAATTGGCTTATTTCATTTAGCATAATGCCCTCGAGGTTCACCCACATTGTAGCATGTGATAGGATTCCCTTCCTTTTTAAGGATGAATACTGTTCTATAGTGTGTATATGTACCATATTTTGTTGATCAATTCACCTGTCGATGGATATTTGGGTTGCTTCCACCTGTTGGCTACTGCAAGTAGTGCTTCTATGAACACAGGTGTGTAGCTATCTCTTCAAGAACCAATTCTTTCAATTCTTTTGAATACATACTCATAAATGGAATTATTGGATCATATGGTAATTCTATTTTTAACTCTTTGAAGAGCTACGGTGCTGTTTTCCATAGTGGTTTCACCATTTTGCACCCCCACCAACAGTGCATAAATGTTCCAATTTTTCTCCATCCTCACTGGCACTTGTTATTTTCTACTTTTTAAAATATTAGGCATACTAATGGATGTGAGGTGATAGCTCATAGTTTTAATTTGCATTTCTGTGATGATTGATAATAGTGAACATCTTTTCATATGCTTGTTAGCCATTTTTACATCTTCTTCATAGAAATGCCTATTCAAGTCCTTTACTCACTTTACCCATAAAGTCAGATTGTTTGATTTTTTGTTGTTGAATTGTAGGTCTTTTAAAATATATATTCTAGATATTAATTGCTTATCAGATGAATAATCTGCAAATATTTTCTCCCATTCTGTAGATTGCCTTTTCGTTGTATTGAGTGTGTCCTTTGATGCACAGAAGTTTTTTAGTTTGATTTAGTCCCATTTGTCCATTTTTGCTTTTGTGGCCTGTGCTTTTGTTGTCACATCCAAGAAATCATGGTTAATCCAATATTATGAAGATTTTCCCCTATATTTTCTTCAAGGAGTTTTATAGTTTTGAGTCTTACATTTATGTTTTTAATCAATTTTGAGTAAATTTTTGTATATGACATAAAATAAGGATCCAACTTCATTCTTTTTCATGTGTATATACAGTTTTCTTAATATAATTTGTTGAAGATATTGTTCTTTCCCCATAACCTTGTCAAAGATTATGTCACAATATTTGTGATGGTTTATTTCTGGGCTGTCTATTGTATTCCACTGGTACAGATGCCTGTCTGTATGCGAGCACCACATTGTTTTGATTACTGTAGTTTTATAATAGGTTTTAAAATCAGGAAATAAGAGTCCTCCAACTTTGTTCTTCTTTTTCAAAATTGTTTTGACCATTCAGGGTCCCTTGAAATTCCATGTGAATTTTAGTATAACTTTTTAAAAAATTTTAGTGAAAAAATTGCTATTGGGATTTGGACAAGGATTGCATTGACTGTGTAGGTCACTTTGGTAATATTGATATCTTAATAATGTTATGCCTTCCCATCTATGAACATGGAATATCCTTCCATTTATCTGTATCTTTCAAAATTTCTTTCAGTAATGTTTTGTAGTTTTCATTGTACAAGTCTTTCAACCCATCTGTTAACTTTGTTCCTAATATTTTATTCTTTTTGATGCTACTGTAAGTTGTTTTCTTAATTTTCTTTTCATATTGTTCATGGTTAGTTTGTAGAAGTGCAAATGACTTTTATATGTTGATTTTGTATTCTGCAAAATCTGATGAATTATTTTATTAGTTCTAACAGGTTTATTTGCGTGTGTGTGTGTGTAATTTTTAGAGTTTCCTACATATACATGTCATCTGTGAAAGATAATTTTACTTCTTCCAATTTATTTTTCTTGCCTAATTTTTCTGACTGACATCAAATACTATATTGAATAGTAATATTTATATCAGGCAGGCATTCCTGTCTTGTTCCTGATCTTAAAAGAAAAGGCTTCAGTCTTTCACTGTTGAGTATGATATTTTCTGTGGGCCTTTCATGTATGGTCTTGATATGCTGAGGTAGTTTCATTCTATTCCTAGTTTGTTGAGTGTTTATTTTTTAATATATTACGAAAGGGTGTTAAATCTTATCAAATGCTTTTTTCTGCATCAGTTGAGATGGCTGTGTGTTTTTGGTCCTTCATTTGGTTAATATGATGTATTATATTGATTGATTTTTGTATATTAAACCATTCTTGCATTCCAGGAATAAATCCCAGTTGGTTATGGTGTGTAGTCCTTTCAATGTGCTGTTGAATTCAGTTTGCTAGTATTTTGTTGATGATTTTGCATCAATATCCATTAGGAATATTAGTCTGTAGTTTTCTTTTCTTGTAGTGTGTTTATCTGATTTTGGTATCAAGGTAATGTTAGCCTCATAGAATGAGCTTGAAGTTGTTCCCTACTCTTCAGTTTTTGGAAGATATTGAAAAGGATTGGTGTTAATTCTTTTTTTTTTTTTTTTTTTTTTTTTGAGACGGAGTCTCGCTCTGTCGCCCAGGCTGGAGTGCAGTGGCGGGATCTCGGCTCACTGCAAGCTCCGCCTCCCGGGTTCACGCCATTCTCCTGCCTCAGCCTCCCAAGTAGCTGGGACTACAGGCGCCCGCCACTACGCCCAGCTAATTTTTTGTATTTTTAGTAGAGACGGGGTTTCACCATGTTAGCCGGGATGGTCTCGATCTCCTGACCTCGTGATCCGCCCGCCTCGGCCTCCCAAAGTGCTGGGATTACAGGCGTGAGCCACCGCGCCCGGCCGGTGTTAATTCTTTAAATGTTTGGTAGAATTCTCTAGTGAAGTCATCTGGTCCTGGAGTTATCTTTTTTGGGGAAGTTTTTATACAAATTCACTATTTTTACTAATTATTGGCCTGTCCAGATTTTCTATTTCTCATGGCTCACTCTTGGTAGGTTGTGTATTCCTAGGAGTTTATCCATTTCTTCTAGTTTATCCAATTTGTGGGCATACAATTTTTAAAAATACTCTCATATAATCCTGTTTATTTCATGTAATGCTCCCTCTTTCATTACCGATTTTAGTTATTTTAGTTTTATCTCTTTTTGTTGATCTTTTTAAAAACATGTAGTCTTATTTTCATGATTTTAAAAAAATCTATTTTATCTGTTTCTGCTCTAATCATAATTATTTCCTTTCTTCTGCTAGCTTTGGATGTAGTTCTTTTTTTAGTTCCTTGAGGTGTAAAGTTTCGTTGTTGATTTGAGATCTTTGTTCTTACTAAATGTTTATCTATAGCTATAGACTTTCCTCTTAGCACTGCTTTCACTGCATCTCAAATTTTTCTTTTTTGGGATGGAGTTTCGCTCTTGTCGCCCAGGCTGAGTGCAGTGGTGCAATCTCGGCTCATTGCAACCTCCGCTTCCCAGGTTCAAGTGATTCTATTGCCTCAGCCTCCTGAGTAGCTGGGATTACAGGCACCCACCACGACACCCGGCTAATTTTTTTGTATTTTTAGTAGAGAGGGGGGGTTTCGCCATGTGGGGCAGGCGGGTCTCAAACTCCTGACCTCTGGTGATCTGCCCGCCATGGCCTCCCAAAGTGCTGGGATTACAGGCATGAGCCACTATACCTGGACCATCTCAAACTTTTGTATGTTGTATTTTTATTTTCATTTGTCTCACAGTATTTTTCTAATTTCCCTTGTGACTTCTTTGATTCACTGATTGTTTAAGAGTATGTTGTTTACTTTCCACATATTTGTGGATTTTCCTTCTGTTATTGATTTCTAGTTTCATTCCAATGTGATTGGAAAATACATTTTGTATAATTTTTTAAGACTTGTTTTGTGGCCTAGTTAGTTTGTGGTTTATCCTGAAGAATATTCCATGTGAACTTGAGGAGAATGTAGGTTTTGCTGCTGTTTGGCAGAGTGTTTGTTAGTTCTAATTGGTCTATAGTGTTATTCAAGTCTGTGTTCTTACTTACCTTATATCTGGTTGTTCCCAAAATAAATTATCATTTGCAACTTATCTTTTCCCAATACATTTATTTTAAACTGTTTTTCTTGTTAATGAGTATTGTACTTATTAGAATGAGGTTGCCACAAGTAGTAGAATAGGAAAGGTAATTCTGGCTTTAAAAAGCTAGAACTTGATTTGTTTTTTCATGTGGAAGTTTGGAGAAAAGCATTTCAGGACTGGTATGGTGCTTCATGGCATCAGGGGCTTAGGCTATTTCTGTGTTAGTTATTGCTCTGGCAAGCATGGCCTCCCACTCCTGGATCACCTTATTGTCTAGGATGACTTCTTCAGCTCCAGTGACACATTCAAGCCAGCAAAAAGAACGAAACGGGGGGAAAAGGGCCTACCTCCTCCATAATGAACACTTTCTGGAAATTGCACACACAACTTTTCCCTACATCTCATTGCTAGAATTTAGTAGCCTGGATATACTTACCTGCAAAAGAGGGTGGGAAAATCATCCCTGTTGGCCCTGTGACCATCCCCAAATCAAAGGCTATGTTACAATAAAAGAGGGAAAAGACGGATATTAAGGGACAACTAGTAGTTCTGTTACAAGTGTAGACCTATAGCAATACATTAATCAGGTATTTATAATTATCCAAGTGTGCTATGGTGTTCTGTTGTACATTTTTATTTATTGTTCTTTTGATAAACATTTATATTGTACCATAATTACTAAAATTATGAACAATATTATGATGAATTTCCATGAACATACACTTTTTATAGTTAATAAGTTACTGTGCTTAGAATATTCCCAGAAATATAATTGCTGAATCAAAATATGCATGTATGCAAGATAAATCTATATATCAAAGCAGTACATGTGGCATGGTGAAGGTGAAAGATTATAAATTTTCTCATGATTAAAATAACAGTCTTCTTCCCCATGTTTCTCTATCTTCGGCACATTGCCCCGATAGATCCAGAAGCAAATTTTCAAAATCAGTTTTTTCATTCTATTGGTCACTTACCACTATTATTCTAGATCACAGGTTCTTAACCATGACTGCATATTAGAATCACCTCAGAAACCATAAAAAAAAAAAAAAAGGCTGATTTCTGGGCTCCATCCCATTTAAAGCATAATTTCTTAAGGTAAGGACTGGGCTTTGCTCTTCTTAAAATAATGTTTTAAGCTGTCCATATGACTCTAATAATGCACAGCAAAGACTGAGAATCACTATTACAGAAACGTGGTATTCAAACTTTAATGTGTTTATAAAATATGTATGGATCTTGTTAAAATGCAGATTCCATTTCAGTGGTTTTGCCAAGATTTGGCTTTTCTAACAAGTGATGTCAATCCTTCTGGTCTGCAGACGACACATTTGAGTATCAAGGCTAGACAATATGTGTATTCTTCTACTTACTTCTTTACTTTAGACAATATGCAGTGACTCCCTGAGATGAAGATAAGGATTTGTTCATTTTAATTATACCCTCCTATTTTCTTTTCTCAATGTTTGTTATGTTATTACTTTTAGCTTTAATATTGATTTGTTTTGTATCTTTAGTTAATATGGCTAAATTCCTGTTTTTTTTCTCCAATTTTGACAGTATTTCTTCATATTTGACCATTCCCTTAAAAGATGAGATCATTGGAGTTCTATTTTTTCTTCCATCTTTCGCCTCAGAAAACTTGTGTTCCACCTCTTGTTTTTTTTCTGCTTTGACTTTTAAGTAATCTAAGTAGTTAACATTTCTGTGCTCTCCTGCAAACACGAATAAATCTTCCATGTTATGTCCTTAGGTTGTCTCTTAAGGAGAAAACTAATAAACTGATTTGGCAGTGTTACAGTTTAATGCATAAACAGATATGTGCCATGCCAAGTGACGCACTAGGCTTCCAGCACCTTCTTTATGAGCACTTGTACAGCAATCTGGGCCACCTAACGAATACTAGTGTGATGGTCCACAGATTCCTTAAAAATCGCAGCATTCAGTTTGCTTGTATTTGACCAAGATTTTCTTGTACATTTTTTTCCCCTGGAATTTCTATAACTTCCCATCCCACCCTTGTTATGTGTTCTTTAGATTTTTCACACTCTAAGGTATATTAGCTGTTCAACAAGCTACAAATTGTCCCAGAAGCCTATCCCCTGGGGATTATTATCCTACTAGTCTCGAGATTGGTCACTCCTTAGGTTGGCCACAACTTGGGAGATCCCTTTACTTTGTCCTGGGTCAGTTCTGTTTACACCGTCCTAGTTTACAGATTCTGCTGGTGAAGAACACTCAGATAGCTTCATAAGAGATGATACACAGGTGGTAAGTGTACTTAGTGCTTGTATCTTTGACATTATAGAGTATTCTAGGTGGAACATAATTTTACTGCAGAACTTCAACCCCTCTCCTTCATGGCTTGTGAGTTTTTTTCTTCCTAAAAGCTTTTGGGTTCTTCTTTTTAAATTATGTTGTCCTGAAACTTCATCACAATGTGGCTAGTGGGAGATCTGTTTTCATTCATCGAGTTGGACATTCGGTGGGCCATTTCAAATGGAAGATTCTTGTCCTTAGCTCTAGTATGTATCTTTTTATTATTTGCTGAAATAATTTTAACACTTTGCCTTTTCTTCTTTCTGGATTTTGTGTTAGTTGAATACAGGCCCTCTCAGTTTCTTCCTCATATTTTCCATCTTTTACTTTTTTGTTTGACATTTTGTTAACCTGCTTTGATGTTTTTTTCCAGCCTCTCTAATAAATTTTAAGTTTTGGAAATTATACTTTAAATCTCTAAGACCTCTTTCTCATTCTCTCATTGTTCTATTTCTTGTTTTGTAGGTGTAATATTTCCTTGAATCTTTTGTTTTTATTCTTTTGTAGAGATGGAGGTGTCTCACCATGTTGCCCAGGCTGGTCTCAAACTCCTGGCCTCAAGCAATCTTCCTGCCTTGGCCTCCCAAAGTGCTGGGATTACAGGCATGAGCTACCACGCCTGGCCTCCTTGAATCTTTTGGAAAACATTTATAAGAATGATTTTTAACTTCTTTTGTGTTACCTAAATAATTTCATCTTACTCCAAAGTTATTTTTCTACTTTGTAAAATTTGTTATTTCTCTTTTTATGTTGCTAGTTCTCTTTACATGCTAGTGATTTCTGACTCTTATTAAGAAGAGTGGACTGAGCTGACGGAGTAGATGTTTCCACTTTTGTGTAAGATTGTTTTCGTAATAGATCTCTTTTTTTTCTTACTGGAATTTGTTGCTGCAATGGGCCAGGCAATGACTGGTAACTTTGATGTAGGATCAGTGGATTGGGAGCTCGCTGTCATGCTGAGTTTCTGCAAATGCCCGAATGATAATGGCTTTTCTTTGAGGCACCTGTAAATTCAGAAATTTTCACTTTTCACAGTTTGCTCAGTTTCTTTAGTAAGGATTCATCATATATTTTGCCTGCAGGTAAACTGTTGGAAGACTTCTCACTGTTGTATACACTGGCAACGAGGCACCGACTGGAAGAATTCTGGGACAGTCAGACCTTGAAGTACTCTCTCTGATTTTATCTTCTGCACTCAGGGCATCTCTGGGATTCCACAGGCAGATTTGTTCTTTTCTTCTGCAGAGCTCTCAGAGTCTATTGTAGGCTGACAATTTCTCTGCCCTTTGCTTCTGTTAAATGGCTCCCACTTAATTTTCATATTCCAGGAATTTTTTAAATGTCTCATCCTTTAGGGATGCACATACGCTACTCTCTCGTCTGCTGTGCCAGACTCTGCTCTTTACCACAGGGAACTGACCCCTGCAAATGACATTTTCTTGCCAACTGGCTTCCAACAGCTTCAGCCATTGGGAAATGCTGGTGGGATATTGAAGAGAGGGAAGAATGACAACGGCAGGATATTTCTTCCATTTCTTTCTGCCTTGGGCAGCCTCTCTTGATGTGGCTACATTTCTTCCATCTCATTTAGACCCCAAACAGCCCCTTAATCCATGGTTCCAGCTCCTGCCAGGCAGTCCTGGATCCTGGGCTCTGGCAATGCCTTCTCCCTTGGTTGCTTCAGCTCTAGTGGTGGTAGTGGGTGTCCCCAATTTATCTGGCTTTTTAGATATTCCTACAACTTCATACATAGTTCCCTGTGTTGAATTCTATTGAACTATTTGACTTAATTTTCCTTACTCAACTCTGAGACATATACATATAAAGGAGTATTCTATTATATATATTCATGTTTAATGCAAAAATCTTGGAAGAAATGGGAGGTTAATGCATGTGTTCTGTCTGCCATCTTGAATTTTAAAAATTTTGAGGATTTTTATTTGTGTTGCCAAATTGCCTACTAGAACATTTGTATCAAGTTAGATTCCCACTAATGGTAGAGTAATATCCAGATCTTGACATTCTCACAGCATAGGATTGGACACTTCTTTTTAATCATCGCATCCAATCTTTATATGGGGATCCAATGAAAAGTTCAAGTTTTCTTGAATTCAGGAGGTGTCATATTTGTGTTGAGGTAACAGCTGGAAATGATCTATGAGGAAACAGAGCCAATAGCACTTGCCCAACTTTCGATTCAAGATGGCTGGCCAAGTTGCTGAGGAGCCCAGAATCCTATGAGAAAGATACAAAAAGCAGCTTTTCCAGTGTCTGCTTTTTCCAGTGTCTGCTTGTGATATCTAAAAGGGAAGAATTATTCTGGCTCTCTAGAAAAGTAAAATTCCCCGAAATAAATAAAGTCATTGCTGAGTTCCAAATTATTAAAGCATGACTCAAAGAAGAGTGTGTCTCACAAAAGACTGAGTCAAAATCAAATCCTAACATCCTTGCTTTCTAGCTTAATAATTCCATGGAAAAGGTTGTCATCTGTCTCCACAGGGCTCTCACATAGATTCCCAACTGGAGAACTAAAGACGGAATAAGAATACTAGAAATAAGAAATTTCAAAAAAAAAAAGGAAGCTGTCTTTCCTCCATCTCAGGAAGTAACATCATAATTGCAGTTCTTACTGAAATCATGTGGAAATATCAATCTGGAGTCCTGATTAGCCACATCTGGGCATGACTCAGTCCATTTTATGGTGGTTTTGCACAATATTTATTTTCACTGCAATGATGCTCTCAGTATTCATCACCTTATCAATTCCAAGTAGTCCTTCCACACACCCAAAAACTCTTCTGTGCCTTCCATGTTTCTTCCACCTGCAAAGAGAGCCCATTGCCATATGCTTTTTCATCAGCTACTTGGCTGTGCTCTAAAGCACATCATTTACATTCTTCACATTTGTTTATTTATAAAATTAGTCTAACTGGTCCTGAAACTTCTATCCACCTCTGAGCAGCAGCTATGATGGTTGAGAGATAAGGATCCTCAGGAGGGCCATTTAGCCAGGGCCTTATATTCACAAAGGGCCTTAGTTGGGTCATTTGTTCTTGCCTTCCAAAAAGGTTATTTTTTTATGTGTTTAAAGCATGATTTTAAGTACTTAAAATGTGCTATAATGTTTGCTATTCTGTTCTGACACTTCTTTCTTCTTCATTTTATTTTAAATCTTCAAGGAAAAAAAATGGAAGTGTCTCAGACCTCTCCACATCTGGGAGGGCCTGGCCCTGTTATTCAGTGAGTTGATTCACATCTCTTTCACTCTCCCTTTGGTCTATGAACAGGTTATTGTGGGATGGAGAAAAGATTTGGTTTTATGAAGTGACGAATTGGCGTTCTGACTAAACCTGAATGTTTTGGTGACTGCTGGGGTGGAACCCAATAATTCTGCCAAGATGGGATTAGCAGCAATGCTACTTCCCCTTGGTGGAGACTGAGGCCAAAATCAAGGTTAAAGAGAAATAAAGAAAAATCAGTGTGCAAATGGACTTCAATTATAATAATCACCAGAAATAGTTTTCAAAGCTTCAAAGCAAGAAAAGTAGAAAACCTCATCAAATACATTAACACACTGTTTGTAATTTGCCTAATGGCTATCTTTGCTGAAGACTCTTCCTAATGAGAGGCATTAAAAGCCAAGGTGATCAACAGATTGGGCCAAATCAGGCACAACAAAATATCCCTGGGGCCTTTTTATTTTATTCACCACAGTCTTCCACATACGGTTTATCAGTATTATTAGTCATTACCTGTTCCTTTGACCCCTCAGGATCAAGAAAAGTTTCACACATTATTTTATAAATAACCACTTATCTTTTTTATAGTAATAAATGTTACACAAATTCACTACTGTATGTTTTACTTTATATCTGGATAATTAAAATTTAATCCAATTAGTCCCTTATTAAGATGGGATATCAAAGCATTTAGTATGACTAACTATTCGGTGTATGCTGTGTTTTTATTTAAACAGAGGTTAACTTTTGGATGTTAATTTGTTTCTTCAGTTCACTAGAGAATCATGAAGGAAATAACTAGCAGGAGTCGACAGTGTATGGCGTGGTGTTCCAAAAAACTGGATGCCTCTTACTCTCTGTAAACTATTTGGCTCAAGCCTACAAACCAATTTGCCCACACAAGACACTACTTCTGTCTTGCCACTTTTAAATGAAGTCTATTTTTCTCTCAACACTTTTTCTTACTGCTCAGCAAATATGTATTTCAACTAAATTCAGTTCTTCAGCAATGGCTGAGGAAAAAGATAACAGTATCATCTTTGTATATTTCCAAGATCAAGTTTTGCTATCTAGTCTCAGCCCTAGGAGAAATGTGAGTGTGTCTCTTCTATATTCCAAGTGATGCCAAAAGGCAAAGTATGTTTGATGGGTAACAAATGGCATCCTCTGTCTTTGGGAAGTAAGGCATATTTTTTCCATTTTTGGCAGCTATCTGGAAATTCAGAGTCTCACAGCACAAAAACAGAGAACTAAAACAAAAAAAATTAAAATGACTCATGTAGATAATATTCACCAAACTAAGAATATAAGGAAAAGAAAGTGTCCACTGTTTCTACAAGCACATCAAAATGTATGATAAATTAGCCCATACAAGGCAAAGGCCTAGTCTTTAGCAGAAGGAAGGGCCCCCTGTCTGACTGTGGCCTTTGACACTGATGAAGCTGTGTTATTTAAGAACTTTTTTGGGAAAAAAAATTCTGGAAAGAACTTCTGCACTGTAGATTAGGCCATGGCTACTGCCTCTGTACAGCTTCCACTTTATCTGTTGCTTAGGCAAGAAGTACGTGCTAGTAGGTCTCATTTTCAAGGAAGATGACTTCCAAAAAAGAGGTTGAATGGTCAGTTTGAGAGCAGAGTTAGGCAGTGAATGATCAAGGATTGGAACGTCAAAGTCAGAGACTCCGGTTCACTTTATCCCCACTTGTGATGCTATCTTCACTTAGCTGAAAAAAAAATGTTGCTGGAATTATCCATCACTGGAGTAGGCATTTGTACTATTTGCAGTCTTTTGGGGAAATGTTTTCAGTGAGCATAAGAAACATTTACTTTTGTTTTGGAGGTCATCGTGGATGGAGTAGGTAAGGCATTAATTTCTTTTGGCAGCCATATCCTGGAGGGGAAGGGAGAGCCAGGATTATCTCACAAATAGAAAGGAGCAGCAAGTTTTACACCCACTGACTTTGAAATGATAGCCAGTGACGTCTGACTGGAGTTGAGCAATGCACTTGAGAACTGTTTTGTCAGCATCTCAAAATGTAATAAACCCCTTGTATGAATGGCTTCTAAGACAATGTGGCATGGGAAAAGTGATGTGCTGCCAGGTTAAAATGTAATGAAAGTTGCATTCCTTTTACTATTCTTCTTCACATTCAAAGACATGGGGCCAGTGCTATGGGTAACTACTTATACACATGTAGCAGAAAGCCTGGTCAGGACTCTGATGACTCCCACTTGCCTACTGTATTAGTCGTTCTCATGCTGCTAATAAAGACATAACTGAGACTAAGTAATTTACAAAGAAAAAGAGGTTTAATTGACTCAGGGTTCCATGTGGCCGAGGAGGCCTCACAATCATGGCAGAAGGCAAAACGCACGTCTCACCTGGCGGTAAACAAGAGTGAATATAAACCAAGCAAAAGGGGAAGCCCCTTATAAAATCATCAGATCTTGTGAGACTTATTCACTACCATGAGAACAGTATCAGGGAAACCACTCCCATGATTTGATCTCCCACTGGGTCCCTCCCACAACACGTGGGAATTATGGGAGCTACAATTTAAAATGAGATTTGGGTCAGGACACAGCCAAATCATATCACCTACTCACCTCATATGGCCATAAAAGTAACCTCTTCTGGGTCCTCTTACAGGATGCTGGGTGATGAATGCCTTTTCCACATTGACAAAAGAGTTTAGGATCACAGGTTAATACTCTCTGCTTCTCACTAATGTATTTGCTTTGTGATAGGGCAGGTCCTCGCAAACTTTGTTTTTGAATAACTTACATGTTTTTTCTGTACCATGAAACCATCAATTATCCATATATTTTTCTTTAAATGGAACCACTTTTTCTATTATTTTAAAAGATTATATCACTACTGTAAACAGATTTACAAACCATATCATTGGACTTAAATAGAAGGTAGCTATTATATACATAGATATACACAATGAATATAAAACAATGCTTTAAAGTTTGGGTAAATACTGTTATCTTCTGCTGAAGACTCCAAAAGTGAGGTGTAGACATTCTCTCTGTTAAAAAAAATAGAGAAAAAGCAAAGGGCAGTGTGAAGAGTGTTAAATACACACCAACACTGAATTAAGATTTTCTTCTTCATGTGATCAGGATTGAAAGACAATTCATAAAGAAGTCAATTTCTCATTATGGAACTCAAAGTGATGATGCTGGGTCAGTGTGCCATCTTTTGTGCTGTCTCACTTTAGAAAGTATTTCAGTGAAGAGTTTTTGGAAAACACGACTATATTCAAAAGAGCATTTCTATTGTTCAGTTAGACAACAGTGAGAAAGAGAAGTTGAGAAAAGAATGGGCCATTGCTTTTCCTCCACAATCAATTTAATTCAACAAGCAATATGAATTCTATGCTCAGATATTTCAATTTATTTATTCTCTTATGGTGAGGAAAAACAAAGGCATTTGAAACAGCTGACTAAAAAGCAATTCAACACTCAATGAAGTGTGCGTGCTAAGGACCTCGACAAATGAGGGTGCACAGGGAGCCTTGAGCTCTTCTGCATGAATAAAGCAAAGAAGGGCAGACGGATTAGAAACAGGAGCCAATGCTGGGTAGAGCTGCCTAGTGGGGCTCAGGGCATGGCAAGCAGAAGGCAAGTGGAAGGAAGGTGAGATTTCCGCCTCCCTTTTTTCACCAAAGGAAGGACTATCAGTGTTCAAAAGAGTAAGAGAAACTCCACTCAGAATCCGAAAGAACTGGTCCCTTGGATGTTCGATTTCATTTTCCAAGGTCTGACTGCCTTGTGCTATTGAGCATGGACTAAGAAGGGCTTTAGCACTCAAGCAGTCTGCAGAAACAAAAAGTGAATAAAACAAGCTTATTCCTTGAAATGTATTGTAAGTGATATTTTTATAATGCAAACAACTATTAAAACATTAAATCAAACTTTTATTTCCCATTTAAATGATCGTCCAGTGGCTTTACACATGTTTTCTAGCAAGTAACAATAGCAATAGCCCCCAGTTTTTTGAGTATGAGGACTGTGTCATGCTAGAAATTATACTTTTAATGTCTGTAGATTGAGAAAATACATTAATGATCAAAGGCTGCTATTAATTTGGTGAAGCAAGTAACTGAATTTGTAAGTTATTCATCACCTCAACTACAGACAGTTTAAAAATAATGTGTGTGTATGACATATTATTTATTTAGTCTCTCCATACTGAATGTGCATATGGATTTACAGACCCCTCACAATAAATTCTGCTACCCCCAGGGGTCCAAGACCTACTGCTTGGGAACCTCGGAGTAGGACAGGCTTATGATTGATGACAATGAGGAGGGCCTGGGGCACATCTGCTAGTCTTCCTTTGCTTTTATCATCACGTCCCTCACACTTTCTTCTTGAAGTTCTGCACTCCACTTTGTTTACTGAAAATATTTTCTGTATAAACTTCTACAAGTTGGTTATGACTTCCCACAGTGCAAACATTTGTCATGCTAAAAAATAAATTGCACTTTGGAAATTTGCACATTTGGGATAAATATCATTTTAAATTCTAGATTCACTAGGTGTTCAACTGTATTTAATAATTTTTTTTTTATTCCTTAACCTGGGAAGTGATTAGATGGTTGATTGATGTATAACTCTTCACAATTTTGTGACTTAAATATTTAATAATGTATTAAAGCAAAAGGATTTCCTGCACCCCAGTGCCAGCTGTTTCCCTTTATGTTGTTATCACAACAGGCCAACAAAATCTACCAATATAGTTATTACTTGCTGCACAAAGCAGAGCTAAGCAACATTGTAAACTTACTTTGCTAGTGCTTTCTGGAATTTTCTTACTTGTCCTAGCACATTTTATCAGAACTTTGATTTAAAATGTGTTTGTGGACTTTTGCCCAATTGTGTTTTCCTTTTTTGTGTGTGTCTGCCTTTTTGGTGACCCTAAGGATAATTCCGACCTTCTTACAAAGGATTTCTTCAATCTTTCATGTGTATGTTCCTGCAGTCAGCCCTTCTCCTTCCTGCATCAACAATGTCTTCCTTTTATCATGGCACAACTTTTTAAGCAACTTGTCTATACATTTGCTGTCTACACACACTCATGTACCAGCCAATTTCAATCCACGTGGCTCTGGTTTCTGTCCCATCACTCCACTGAAAGTGCTCCTGCTGTGGTCATAGACCATCTACCTATGAGTCCACAGTTCACTTCATCCTCAGCTCCCTCACTCTCTCAGATGCATCTGACATGTAGATTGTTTCTTTTAATTTTTAAACATGTTTTCTTGTTTATTTCCATTATACTCACTCATTTATTCAATTTATTCATGTATTCATTCAGGAAGACTTGCTCTGGGTACAAGGAATGGAACAGTAAAAAAGAAAGACTGGGTTCTTGTCTTTATAAACTGACAGTCTGAGATAATCAGAAAAACAAATATGCAGTTAAAATAGAATGTGCTAAGTGTTCTAGTGAGGAAGATATGGTAAAAGAATACTCCCGAGGAATGCCTAATCAGGATTTGGAAAGTCAGTAACAGGTTTCTGAAGAAAGTGACACTGAATCCAAGACTTGTAAAACAAATAGGAATTAGCCAGAGGATGAAGGGAGCTTAGTGAGAAGGGATACTCAAGACAAAGAGAAGAGTGGATGAAAGGGCTTGGAGGCAAAGAAAAAGCACAAGAGCTGAGGTGGATTAGTGTCAATCAGAGTGGATGACAAAGAGGAGAATACTGAAAATGTCACTGGAGTAAGGAGGCACCATATGCTGACAGGCCTTGCAAGATAATTTATGAAGACTGGACTTATTTTACTGAAGGCAGTGGAAAGCAGAGAAGGCAGAAGAATGAAGAATATGGAGATGGAAAGTGACTAAAGCAGGAGAAAGAGTTGGCATGGGGCAGAGTTAGAGGAAGACAGACTTGGTATGTGGCTGTGATGTTGATGCAGGTAACACATGATGGTAATTTTAGTGGGAATAGAGAGAATTCGCTATTACAGAGGAAGAAACGATAGAATTTGAAGATGGATTGGGGGCTGGAATTGGGGTCAATGCTTAGTCATGGAGATGAAAAAGTCAACAATCACAATGAGGTTTCCAACTTTGGTGACCAGGTATTCAGTGATGACACACACCAAGTTGAAGAAGCCCAAGTAGGAACAAGGTAGGCTAAAGGTGGAAGGGAAATTATGAGTTCAGCTGGAGTTTTTAGACATTTCTAAAAAGCAGAAACAACTTGGACAGGCAGTAGGGTACCTGACATGCACTAGCCCTCCTCTGTGTCTTTCAGAGATAAGTAAAGAAATGAGGAAATAATTATGATTTCTCTGTTCCTGGGAACTTTATTGGGAGCATGTCTGATTGAGCCACAATGCAAGATGTGGAGAGGAGGACTGACATGGTTCTGAGGGGATCTACCTTTCTTCCAGGGATGAGGACACTTCCTATGACAGACAGAAGTCACAGCTCAAGATCCACTGCTTGGAGAATTGGAGTATTGGGGAATCTGCAACAAGAATCAAACACTTAGCATCAGAGGTCTTGTGACTACATTGTCTAGTTCTCAATAATATGATTTAAGGGGCCAAAGTCCTCACAGTTGTCAAGGAAAGTTTAGGAGAACTAAGAGCACCTCTGAAATAGCTAATACCTGAGTTTGGGGCTCTTGTCCTCTCTCAGAATCCTGGCAGGGATGTGGCAATATAGTCTAGGTTTGGGTTAGCAAATTAGACCAGGTTGAAATGAGTACAGAAGATTAAATATATGGGAAGAAAAAGACTCATATTTTCAAATCAAAACCACAATGAGATAGCATCTCATACCAGTTAGAATGGCTTTTGTTAAAACATCAAGAAATAACAGATATTGATAAGGCTACAAAGAAAAGGGGACATTTACACACTGATGGTGGGAATGTAAATTAGTCCTGCCACTGTGGAAAGCAGTTTGGAGATTTCTCAAAGAACTAAGAGTTAACTACCATTTGACCCAGCAATCCCATTACTGGGTATATACCCAAAGGAAAGTAAATTATTCCACCAAAAGGACACCTGCACCTGTATGTTCATCACAGCTCTCTATTCACAATACCAAAGACATGGCATCAACCCAGGTGCCCATCAATAGTGGATTGGATAAAGAAAATGTGGTACATATACACCGTGGAATACTATGCAGCCATAAAACAGAATGAAATCAGGTTCTTTGCAGCAATCTGAATGCAGCTGGAGGCCATTATCCTAAGCAAACAATGCAGAAACAGAAAACCAAATACCACATGTTCTCACTTAGAAGTGGGAGCTAAACATTGGGTACACAGGGACACAAGACGGGAACAATAGATACTGTGAACTACTAGACGGGGGAGGGAGAGATGGAGGTAAGAGTTGAAAAACTGTCTATTGGGTATTATGCTCAATACCAGGGTGACAGGCTCAGTCATACCCTAAACCTCAGCATCTCGCAAAATTCCTCTGTAACAATCCTGCCCATGCGCCCTCTGATTCTATGATAAAAGCTTAAAAAGAAAACAAAGAAAGTAAAATGCTTTCTCTTGTGTATTTTAACGGTGTATCCCATTTGCAGTGAAGGTCCCGTTTCTTGCAAGATCATTGCTTTTGCAATCCTATCTAGAGTACTATGTAAAAAGGAATCTTGAAAAAATGAGGAACTGGATTTTACTCACTTCTAAGAAGTTATGCAAGTTGCTACATATTTGCTTAATGCTAGTAACGTTTCTAATACCTCTAGTTGAAATATTGTGCCTTGCTGTGCTATTAGAGAGACAAAAATAAAAGAATTTCAATATTGTGGTCAAAAGGGGCCATTTTTCTGTTTTCAGTATGAGTTTTCTGGTTAATATTCCCTGTTACCTATCATCTACCAAGTTCTATGTCTCTATCCATTCTAATGTCTTATACACTAACACAGCCTGCCTTGTCAAAAGGCTATTAACACACCATTAATGGAGTGTATTTCTCTTTAGGATGTCTGTAAGGACTTCCCAGAAATTATATTTAGTATATCGTAAGGGTTGAAATCCTTTCTGCAAATGAGTAAACTTTTTGCAAATTAAGGACTATCGTAGGATCTACAAGAATTAGAGCTCGCTGATGACCCACAGTTTTTGTAAGCAGAGCACAGCCAACTTCCCAATAGTGCCTTGCACCAGGGGAGCCCACTCCCTTCTGCTGTATTAGTCATCGTTAGCCACACCAGGGAGTGATTTAACCCAGTTTACAAAAAAGCAGTTGTTCTGTTACCCTTGGGAGAGCGGTTAGTTAGTCACCAGCACCAGGTTTTGTTGCCTTGGGCATCACACCACACTCATCCTTCCCCTCCTAACAGTTTTAGGCTAGGATAGAAGTGACAGCAGATGAACGTGAACAACCCCTCACACTTCACATGGGCCATTCTTGTGCACCAGGCCCTGTGCTCATTGCCATTTCATGTCATCTCCTTTAGTCCTCAGCACCACCTGGGATGATTGACTGCATTTTGGAGATGACGAAACTGTAGTTCAGGGAGAGAAAGACGCTTTCCAAGGGTCACCCTGAACTGGGGTTTGAACTCAATTCTTTGACTCTTAAGTGTATTCTCTTAATCAATAGCTTGCAAAATTAATTTTGTTTACAAAACATAAGGGAACACAACTACAGAATCCTACCCAATCACAGCAACTCCTTTTTTTTTTTTCTTATTGGGGTTCAGTGTAGAGATCATTGAAATAAGCATCCACAGCCTGTTTTAAAAACAGTGTGAAGCACTTGCATCAGCTGTGTTTTCTCCATACAGCATCTGAACCAGTTCCACACCTGTGTATGGTATACAGAGCTGCCTATGTTGTACACTTGAGGGCCACTAAAATATTGACTAAAAGAGGCCAGGTGCAGTGGCTCATGCCTGTAATCCCAGCACTTTGGGAGGCCGAGGTGGGTGGATCACTTGAGGTCAGGAGTTCAAGACCAGCCTGGCCAACATAGTGAAACCCCATCTCAACTAAAAAAAAAAAAAAAAATTAGCTGGGTATGGTGGTGGGCTCCTGTAATCCCAGCCTCTCCCATCTTCTCCACTGGATTCAGAATATGAAGATCACTGGAGAGCTTGATAAGGACTTATTTAAGTGACAGCCTGGTTTCCACTGTGCTGTGTGTATGTCAAGTTTCAAGAGAAAGCTTGATGCCCACTTTTGGGATGAGGCAGTATGGTGGCAGTGGCAGCAGCCTGAGGAAGCTCTTTCAGGGAGCTTGAGAAGTGAGCAGAGTGGCCCGTGCAAGGAGCAGAGGCCTAAGGTCTGAGCCAGATGGCTGGCTGACACAGTAAACGATGAGCAGGATGGGTTTGTAAAGAGAAGAACACAACAGTCACATAGGGTGAAGGCTAAGGTTTTATTTTGAATATTTAAAATTAATGTGATTTTATTTTCAGCCTCACATTGGTGGGGCTTGGACATATGATTTGCACATAGACATGTAATATGTGAACACTATCAATGCTAAGAGAGTCTGATGTTGTACTTTAGACAACCTCTCAAGTGAGATTTAGTAAAGGGTTTGTTGTACTAGAATTGTAATGAGTCCAATCAACAAAGCTTTCTATGACTTATTGCTCTTGTAATCATCATGATACTGATTTAATCAGTAATGTAGATTTAGATCATTAATTCAAAAAATATCGATTGAGAATCTACTGTGTACCCAACATCGTTCTAGGCAACAAAGTTGTAGGAGAGAACAAAACAGACTAAATCCCTGTTCTAATCCTGTTTAAAATCTGGTGAGAACAGATGGCCAAAAAAACAAATAAACACAATATATAGTATGCTAGGTCTAATAGGTGGTGTGGAAAATAACTAATCGGGGCAAGGAAAATACTTCTGTGATAGGTAGTAGTAGGAGGGTGCTGTTTTACATAGGGTGGTCTGGGAAGGCCTCCCTGATAACGTGAAAAAAGCAAGGAAGCAACTCTGTGGGTATCTAAGGGAAAGCTTTCCTGCTAGGAAACACAGCATGTTCAAAAGCAGGAGTGGTTTGGTTTGTTCAAAGTATGGCAATGACATGAGTGTGGCTGAAGCAAAAAGAGGGGAAAACAGGGCAGGGTAGTGGATACAACCAGAGAAATGGAGTGGTAGAGGATTATTCTCAGAGTCTTGTAAGCCACAGTAAAGCTCTTGGCTTTTACTTGAGTGTGCCAAGAAGGCATGGAAAAGCTTTGAGCAGAGAAGGAATATGAATCCAACATCTTAAAATGGTCACTGCCTCCTATTTGAAGAGTTGTAGGGTGACTAGTTGGGATGCTATTGAAATAACCCAGTTGAAATAGGATACTAACTTGTTTTAGCTCAAGTTGATAGAAAAAAAATTTAATTCTGGGTGTATTTTTCTTATGAATTGGATGTAGGTTGGGAGAGACATAGATGAATCAAGGATCCGTCTTGTTTTGTTCTGCTGTAAGAGAACACCACAGCGTAGGGGATCTACAATGAACTGAATTTATTTGGCTCATGGTTCTGGAGGTTGGGAAGTCCAAGATTTCATGAGTGAATAGGAAATGTGCCTATAGCACAGTTCAGTTTGAATAATGATTTGGAGATTTAGAGATATTTGAAGTCTAGAATTATTCATTAATGATGTATAATACTCACCTATGTATAAATAAGTCAACTCAGTAAGAGTTAATGGGGCTGTTAAAAAGGGACTCATTGAAGATGGCATACTTCTCTCTATTGCCTGATGAAGGTATATCACCAGTGGTTACTAGGGGGCATAAGCTGAAGGAGGGGAAAATTGATTCCTGTAAGAAGAACAGGTTTGCACAGTTTCAGTCCGTCACTATTTGGGATCCCTTTTAGAAAAGTGACAAACTCTATTTTATAATTTTGAAAACCAAGGGAAGACATAGTATATCTATTGTCACCAAGTCTCCAAGAATGAAGCTATCGGAAAGATCATCTTAATTATTTATTTACTGAAGTTGTAATTGGTCTGAAGAAATCCATTTGCTCAGTTTTACTCTGCTCATATTTTTGTTCTTGCCTTGGCACTTTTAGAGACTATTTCCTAATAATGAAATTTGTAATGAATCTAGGGGATGATTTTTATTGTTCTTGCTGGGCACATTTCTCTAACTTGTGTATTATCTGCCAAAAATTGAATGGTATCTCTGAAAATGAAAGCCAGGCACAAAGGGGATTGTTTTCAGCTTTCACGAAGGGCTGTATAACCGTATGTGTCTCACCCTTCTGGGACTAAAGACATCACGCTTTCCCATGACCCAAAGTGGAAAATCATTCCACTATTCTTGGGGCAGTGTGGAACACTCACCATGTGAAGCAGTCGTAAAACATTTTACTTGTTTTATCTTTCTTTTTCCTCTTGCTATTTCCCTTTATTTTGGCAAAAGGTGAGAAGTGATGACCGAAATTAAGCATTTCCACATCTAATTCCCAGATTCTAGGACACAAGTTTTCCCTTCCTACTTAAAAAATACCACCCTCCAGAAGTTACCCAGAGAGTCCACTGAAGATGGATGTCCATCAGTTATAGCGTGGTCTGAAACAATTTATTTGAATGGGGCTTTCCAGGGCCTTTTGAGCAGATCAGTCATATGAAGCAAATTTACAGTACAGTAAGTGGTGTTTCCTGAGGTAACGGAACTCCCATCGAATGGCCTCTGAGTGCAACTCTCAGGAGCTGTAATGCTTCTTGCACACAGCCCTGCAAATGAGCAGTGCAGATTTTACCAAATAAACCGCCCTCTGCATACAGGGTTCTAGAAGCCTATGGCAAGCCATTCTAACAAAATTGTTTTCACTTCTCTTCACCTCTTTCTAAACTTATACTCCTGGGTTTTTTGTTAATATTTAAAAAAAGATATTTAAAACTGCACTTCAGCCACCTTGTAAAATGAAAGAGTACATTGTACAGGCACCAAAGGTGCACATGAATGCTTTTATCAAAGTCAGCGTCCTGCTTTGGGACACTAATTGGAACCATGTGTTGAAAATGCAAGACAGGATTTTCGGCTGTTCTTTAATTAAGTGTAATGAAGACTCAACCGTGTTTTTCTTTATAAGGAACGGCTGCTGTAGGTGTCCTCTTCATAGGACTGATGGGTGACCCCAAGTGGGGATGCTGCCACCTGTTTCAGGGCTTCAGGGACATTGGTAGTCATTTTAATATTTAAGACATTCTCAATGATTCTATGATGCTATTCAGCCACATGCATAGATGGCCTGGTTGCAAGTGCTCTCCTGATAAGGAGAGGAAGGGAAGTGAAAGAAAATCTGATTATTTTCAAGTGTACTGGAAGACTGACTCATAAAAGATTTTTTTTTAGTATTCTTATAAAGTTCAGTTATTGCAAAAATCATCAGGGAGGTGGAAAAAGTATCTCCTCATTCATTTTTCCATTAAAATCTGTGGAGAAATAGTGGCTAACATGTTAAAAATATTAGCCACTATTTCTCCAGAGTCTATTAGAAAGACAATGAGAAATACTGTCTCAAATTTTCTGTTGAAACTTGAAAACAAAATATAATTTGATTTTTTTTAAAAAGTGCTATTTCTGCCACTTTGTTCTTGGGCAAAAAGGATATTCTATAGCTCTTAGTTGTCCTGGGATCAAAATCCCAGGGAATAAAAGGTTAGTTCACAATGTCTCCTTTCAGGATTTAAGCCCCTCTTTCACAATGCTTTGTGTTATTTAACATTCATTGAATGGTACCAGTGTATTGAACCCCACTCCCCTCAAACCTCCACATGGACTGGATCCAGATCTGGTACCTTTGTACAAAATGCTGAAGCCTTAAGAAAGAAATGTGAACACTGCTTCTAACAGCATAGTTGCACCTACAGACTCCAGAAAGAGGTGCAAAGAGAAGCGAATTAATGACGACAGTGACAGCAATTACTTTCAAGGTATACAGGAGCAGCATTCTGCAGGAAATAAAGATGTCAAAGCAGGGTTGGGAATGTTCAAAAAAGGAAGTCAATTCCACAAGAGGCTTAAAAACATTCTCTCCAAATCACTTCTAAAGAAAATGATAAAACCACTTCTGCTTATATCAAAGCCCAAGGGCCAAGTACTAGAAAGAGTCTCTCTTGGTTGTGGGCAGGTTAGGCGTCACTCTGCCAGTAGTCTCTCAACTTCCAAAGACTGTTTGCAACATTTCATTTATGGATGCTCCTTTGTATGAAGTGGAGTTTGACAGTTTCCCAGGCAGGCTGGGAATAGCATCGGCGGATTACACAGTCAGCAAAGAAATAGGAGAGTCTGAGTGCGTGTGGTTGTGCCTTCACGTTACCTTCAAACCTCCCTTTCAAAAGCACAAATCTAATCAGCTTGTCCCTTTACTGCCCTTAAGATCCTTTCACAGATGCTTATTCAGGTTAAAATGTAAATTCTTATTGCCAAATTCAAGACTCTTAGTGGGTAGCCTACCCTATCTTCTCAGCCCTGGGGTTCACTCCTGCCACAAGATACTGATCAGGCCACACTCTCTTCCTCTGTGCCTCACAAGTGGCTGAGAGTACCTAAGCCTCCTGGAAAACCCTGGGTCTTCCCTGAAGTTCAGCTCAAACTTCATCTATCTCCTTCTCAAATTTTCCTTGGGCATGGCCGCTTCTCCCAGTGGAATAAGAGCAGGCTGATTCTCCTTTGTGCCTCTGAGCATCCTGGGCACATCTCTCTTACAGCACTTACCACGTATCTTGATTGTCTGTTTACACGTCTGCCTCCTTCCTTTGTCTAGACTTTCAAAAACCTGGAAGCCAAAAGTGATGTCTTCATTTTAATATCCCCAGTGCCTAGCAGCGTGCCTGGCACAAAGTGTTCAATAAATGGGTGAACACACATACATACACTTTAGGACTTGTGTTCTTCTAACCACAGTTGGTAACTTTGTGTATAACCTCAAGGCCTCATGTTCTTGCATTTAGTCCAAATTTTAAGTTCTTGAAATAAATAAGATTATTGATACAGAGAATAATAAAAGTGAAATAATACATTGGTTTGCCATCATCAAAAACCCCTAACTTAATATTTGCTGATTGTAGGAAATCGTGAAAGTTACTGGTATCTTGTATGATAGGTTAGGACAATAACAGAAAACTTAAACCAAGAGAGAAATGATTTTCAGAAATGGCAGTATTTGGTATAAAATTCCTCAAGAAAACACTAGTGTTTGTTTTATTATATACTTTTTTCTTCTTTTACTCAAATGCCACAAGTCTTGCAACATAAAATTATTGTTAAATACACATAGCCTTTGGTAATAAATTGTTGCAAATGAAAAGCTATCTCCAAGTCAGACGTAACCACACTGTGAAATTCCAAATTCTAAGGAAAGACAACCAGTTGTGGTCACTATAGAAGAATTCCAATTTTATCTTTTGGGGGAGAATACAAATAAATCAATATGTGAATACATGAACATACCTAAAACAATGAGATAGTTTTTTTTTTTTTTTTTTTTTTTTGCCTAAATAGCACTTGGACAGACAATGTTTTCCTCTAAAATTCTTCGCTTCTTATACTTTAATCACAAATTCTCCTTAATTTTGATAATCATATTACTTCACTAGATAGGTCAATACCTTAATCAGGTCTTGCTTTGCCTGGAAGTCATGCCATCTTTAACATGACATTGCAAGTGTGATGAGGGAGTAAAAAGTATTAACATTTAGTACTAGGGAAAATGTGTTACATAAAAACATGTTACATGACTATTTGATAAAAAGAGATGAGCAAAAGAAAGAGGCAGCTAAGTTGCTTTGCATGAGAAGGTAACAGGAATTGTGGGAAAGCAGAGAGGAGAGGGGAAGGAGGGACAGAGGGAAGGAATAGATAACATGGCAGGAGTCTGGACTCTATGGATATATGTTGTCAATAGGAAATTCTTGTAAAGAGTTAGAAGACTTTAAAGAATAGAGTTGACCAGCCTGGCCAACCTGGTGAAACCCCATCTCTACTAAAAATACAAAAATTAGCTGGGCATGGTGGCAGATGCCTATAATTCCAGCTACTAGGGTGGCTGAGGCAGGAGAACCTCTTGAACCAGGAGACAGAGGTTGCAGTGAGCTGTGATCATGGCATTGCACTCCAGCCTGGGCAACAGAGCAAAACTCTATCTCCAAGAAAAAAAAAAAAAGAAAAATAAAAAAGAATAGAGTTATGGTAAAAATCAAATATAAATTGCTGGCTTTCTTTGGGATAAACAGCTTTCTCTGACCCAAACTTTTAATAAGTTCTGCTACACACAGAAAGTTGTCATGGAAATGAAAGAAAGGGAGATAAGTTCCATGATGGCTCAGCACAGAGCTGACAAAGAAGAAAGTAAGGGTTGTCAAAACATGAATGAGGCTCAGAATCCTGTAGAAGCAGGAATTCACAGCAGAAGTGGCTATGAAAATATATCCTACAGAAACTCATAAAAATCTTTAGGACAGCATCAGACTTAGGAAGGTCCAAGGATAGGGTGTTTGAAAGAAAGGATCACTTTAGTGGATAATCTGGTTATACATAACTCTTGCAGATCCATTCTGTGTTGATTTTATAGTATGATAGTAACAAAAGAGCTTCCACATATTCCTCACTTACTGTGCACCAGGTACTGTGCTGCTTTATGTGCATCATCTTATTTCTCATTGTATGCATAAGAAAACTCAAGTTCAGAGAAAATAAGTAAGTCACACAGTCAATAGCTGTCAGAAGCATGGTAGAAACTTGGCTTGATCTGGTCCCCAAACCCACATTCCTAATTCCTATTTATTTTATTACCAGGTTCCAGCCAGAAAATACCTGATTTCTGTTTCATGAATATACTAGAAGCTACTACAAATGTTGTAAAATTGTTATTCCATATAAGTATTAGTCAGTTATTGTCAAAACACTGCTATGTAACTAACTATCCCAAAGCTCAGTGGCTTTTGGTAGCAAGCATTACTCATGGTCACAGGATAGCATGGTTGACTGTGGTTCAGCTTATCTAGACTGGGCTCAGCTGGACGGCTCTTCTAAAGGTTTCAGGGGAGTGGGCGTGGCTCCAGCATGTGAATCAGGTTCTGTTCTGCTCTGTAACTCTTCAGAAGCCCAGGTGGGAGAGGCAGCAGCTACTTGTGGCATGTTCTCCTCATAGCAGAGATTTGACTCTCCCAAAGGGCAAGCAGAAGCATGTAATGCCTCTTTAGTTCAAGGCTCAAAACTGGCATATTGTTATTTCATTCACATTTTATTGGCCAAAGCAAGTTAATGGATTTTGGCATTAAAGAGCAAATATTCATGAGAATCATTTAATCTTTGGTAGTAATATAATTACACCACTGTAAACTTAGTTCCTCAGAGAAATATACTGTATTATACCTCTTTCAGCAGACAGAAACAGGTTGTTTCTAATATCAGTAGGTGTTTCTGAAAAATTTCACCTGGTTGAATTTCCCTAATTATTTGCAAAGTATAATGATGAAACCATCACCTTTAAGCATACATCTCCCATCATCACTACAATCATCTTGTCCCAGTAGATTATCTAGAACTCTACTAAGGACTTCAAACACATCTTATATGAGAGAGTGACAGAGAGAACTCCTTGTCGTAACATAAAAATGCTATAACTCTGAAGTAGTCTCTTGACTATTTGATAAGATGAAGTAAAATAGGTTGCTTTGTATTGTCTCAAGGATTAATATACGTATTATTCTACCAATGGTGGCCATCTTTGTGAAGTTCTTCGTATTTGACATTTCTTATTTATAAAATATATAGTACTATGCTGTTGCCGAAGATCACAGACATTTCACTCTATTACTAAAATCTGTCAGTGATTAGAAGATACATCTAATGTAGATAAGACCATAGCTGCATGTAATGGCATTTTAATAAACTTAAACATTTATATTAGGAAAATTACACATATTTAATTATAAAATTGATTTTATTTTCCTATCATATCGAGAAGTTTAATTGTCTCTACCAGTATTGATTGAAGGTCTTCTGAAATATTCTTTTAATGGTAGTGTTAACTTGCGACAAACTTGTTAATTGAAGCTAATGGAAATTAATTGAAATCTTCTCTGGAGAATGTATTCTGTTTCCTTATTAATTAGGTAATTTCTTGTTTGTTTCAAAGAACCATTCGACTAATAAAACATCAGAAAAGGAGGCAGTGATTTCTAAGGATATGTGTATATCAGAATTGGTCCAGAAATATATAAGGATGAAGGCCACTCCAGGCACTGGCTACTTCCCCTGTCGGTCCCCAGGGTGCTCTGCTTCTGTGTGCAAATTTGCTCATTTCTCTCTTCTAACAGCATTCTCTGGTAATTTATAGATTGGCTTCTTCAGCAAACCCAAGTTCAGCCAGGCCAAGAACTCAAGTTAGCCAGAACATTTCTTCCCCTGATCTAATCAACTCTGGCTAGGGGTGGGAAGTGGGGCAGGGTCATGTGGTATAAAGCATGGGTACTGTATTGGGCTCTTCTGTACGCTACTTCAAACTCCTCTGAGCCCTATATCAATAGCAGCCATTCCTTTGGCACTCAGTTCCAGGTAGTCTTTCCCCTACTATAAGTAGGTGTAACTGGCACCCCTGCTTCTCTTGTTTCCTGCCCTGGGGCTTCTCTGAGACTGCAGCGTGGGTCATTTGCAAGACCTGGTGTGTATTCACACATGGGAAACCCGAAGTAGGGAGAACAATGTTTCCAGGCTACCCTTGACCACTAGGAAACAGCAAGTGATGGATAAAGGCTTTTCCTTTTCACCCCTGCATATACAGTTCCGAGAAAACTTTCAAAAGGTTCCTTGGAAGATCCTGGTGGGATGAAGCATATGTCATCAACAGGGTGGCCATCTTGATAAGGCATCCTTGCAGTCGCTTCTCCGCCTTTCCTGTTTTATGCTTACTGTCCCACCACATTGCTTTTATATATGCCCTTGTCTCTGGCCCAGTTTTTGGAGGAATGCAAGGAAAGACAGATTCCTAGAAGGGTCTTGTATGAACAGGTTTTATAGAAATTGTTTAATCCACCTATATTAATTTGACTAGTTATGTTATTTCTAAGATTGCAGTTAAGTCAGAGATTTTCTCTAAATCAAAAGTAAGTTGTTCAAGACTGGTCTATATTCCATTTACTGGAACAGCGGCTACCAAAATTGCTCCTGCCCTTAAAAGAAAATTCAGTATCAAGATGGGTGCAGGGCTCTAATCTCTCTTTACTTCCCTGCAGAACCAAGAGCCTTTAGGGGCATTGAGACTCTCATTTAGAAAGTTTAGCTGCTTGTGAGATTGTGAAATGAGAGTTTTAAATGAAAGCCCTTTGAAAGAGGGAAGAAAAATTAACATAAAATTCATATTGAATTTTATTTAAATAGAGGAGAGGAAAAGAAAAAAAAGAGGAAAATAGCAGCTAAATGAGAAGATATGTGGATATATGAAAGAAAGAACCTGAGTTTAATGTAAGCTGGAGAGTGTTTTTGAGCAGATAAGAAAGGGAGTTGGGAGTCAGGAACAGCGATGGTGGATGGTCAGTTAATGAAGCAACCATAAAATGCTTGCTCTAATGCATTTCTCAAGGTATCCATTTCCAGTAATCAAGATACGGAGAAAACCACTTTAGGTTAGTTCATAGAACACTTACAAATGAAGTCTACCTTCCCGAAAAGCGTTTATTAGAAGCTGTCAGATCAGTAGTGAAAATGTTAAATTCAGACAATAGCTACAAATGGATGCATGAATAGTTCTTTTGTTACTATATCATTTTCCCTCACAAAATCATTGAAATGAATACAAAATGTAACTACCTATTTTTGGGATTTCTTGTCTTATAAGTAAATTCGTGAGGCCTTTGTGAATTTAGATGTCAGCTAGTTTCACTTTTATTAAAAATTGATTCTATAAATAATACTGAGTGCAAGAATGACAGAGACATGAAAAGGCAAGGGTTGCTTGCTTCTCCGGGGCAGCTCTATCAAGAGACCTCTTGTTTGGCTTTCCTTTCCAATTTCCGGACACCCAGGAAGGGCCCTATGACCTTCGATTTTTTGGCAGCTCATACCTTCCCAAGGAAGTGCCAGTTAGAACTGCAGAGCTCAATTCTTGTCATGTCTTCTTGACATAACGTCGCTCACTGTTCACACTACTAAAATACCTTTGGCCAACATTGCTTCTGGAATACCTTGTAACTTGTCTCCTTCATTCCAATGATTCACAGTGACAAATTTAGGCATTAATGCCATGTACCCACCCAAACCCAGCCCCAGTACCTTCTGTATTCTCATGTGATCCGAGGAAGATAGTCGCATCCTCAGCCCACTCTCCAACCCCCCCGATTTCTCATAATCTCTTAATTGAATCTTTTATGGATTCTTATCCATACCTTTAAATTTTGTGTTCTTTTTATACCATCTGGACTACCACTCCTTCATATTATAGTTCATTACATAGTAGTTTCATGTGTAAAACTCAATGCAATCCCCTCCCATATACTCCATTCTTTTCATTTCTAGAATATAACCTCAACAGAAACAGGACACTTGTCTGTGCTATTCACTGCCACATCTAGTGTCCAGAACAGAGACTGGCAAAAATACTTACAAATATTTGTTGAAAGGATCGATTTATCCTTTAATTTTTCACATGGCCCAGTTCTGTATTTTGTGCATAGCTGATCCTTAATAAACATTTGTTGAATCAAACTTGCCCAATAAAGAGCTGCTTGGCTCAAAAACACAGGGTCCTGTATTTTACAAATCTGAGTTATAGGCCATTCAGAAAAACTTTTCCAAAGTAGTTTCTTGACCTTTTAAAACCACATAATAAAGACATCTCTTGAGAGGGGATTTTTTTTTCTTTCATTAACTTCTGTAATGAGGCTGGAGCCATACCATCTGATGCAAGGGCCAAAAATTATACATTTTAAGATGAAAAAACCTTCAGAAATGTAATCTCCTTATCTTAGAGGTGAGGATGATAAGGTCAAAAAAGCCATGCTGCATTGTAACTCAATTTCTGTGCCTTCCATTTCAGCATTCTGCAACAATGTTTAGAGTATAGACAATTAAAAAAATGTGAGGAGAAAACGTGGTATGGAATAATAGGATCTGGACATGTTTACACCAGATCTGTAGATCTCTGTCTATATAAGGTAAGAAATATAAAAAACCACGTCTTCAATTTCTCCACATGAGATATAAATAGGAACCCAAGATTATAGGCTTATTATGTTCTGTTCTAACCAACTCAATCAATCTGACACACAGCAATGATTGAAAAGATCAGCTGCCTTAGAAAAATATAAACAAACATTTTCTAAATATTATGACCTTTATAGACTTGTTATTATTACTTGGGAAATACCTTCCCTACATCTCTTATCACCAGGGAGTTAATAGCCAAAAGATAAGAAAATTTCTTCTCTTTCACTATATCTATATATATAGATAGATAGATAGACACATATACACACATATACAGTTGTATACTAATTTTGGTTAGTCATTTGTGGTCTATTCAGGTGAGATAATATTATTTTGAGATTTTGGTATTTCACATACAAAATCACTTTGGAAAGATACAGGGTAAATCTAGGATAGTGCTAAGTTCAGTATTACAGTGAAGTTCCAAAGTGACTGAGTAGAATTTGATAGTTTATAATTATATATTTAAATTTCATATATTTAAAAGTTTTTTTCCTTTTGCATATAAGCCATCAAATAAATTAAAATGTAGGAAAATTTCTATTTAAAATATTTTGCTATCCCATTGACTTAGTCAAATCCTTTTCCTGATTAATAGTGTATGTGTGTAATTTTTTTCTTATTCTCTCTCTACTGTCAAACCTGGCAGGCTGCAGTGGCTCATGCCTGTAATCCTAGCACTTTGGGAGGCCGAGGTGGGCGGATCACTTGAGGTTAGGAGGTTGAGACCAGCCTGGCCAACATGGCCAAACCCCATCTCTACTAAAAATACAAAAAATTAGCCGGGTGTGGTGGCACATGCCTGTAAAAACTACCTGGGTGTCTGAGGCACAAGAATCTCTTGAACCAGGGAGGCAGAGGTTGCAGTGAGCTGTGATCACACCACTGTACTCCAGCCTGGGTGATGGTGTGAGGCTCTGTCTCAAACAAAACAAAACAAAACACCTATGTGCATGCATATATATACCTATTATTTACCATTATTCACAAAGAGTACTTGAGCTTTCTGAATAATTATTTCTTTGTATCAAGTCATCCAGCTAAATTTCAATCTTTCAATCCTTTCAAAATGGTTTAGTAAGTAAAGAAACTTTCGAGTGCCTACTATGTGATAAACATGCATTCTTTCATTCAACAAACACTAATTAAGCTTCTATGAACCTTGCTCTTAGTACTGGGGATAGAGAGGTAAAGCAGATGGCCATGTTTCTGCTGTGATAGGGCTTATGTTCCACCGGGAGAGGAGACATGAAAAAGTAATTCGAGAGAGTGATATGCATAATGGAAAAAACCTTTTAATGGGACAGAGAGTGACTGGGAGGGTGGACAACCCTAAAAAGGGTATTTCAGGGAATGCACCCCTGAGGAGATGACATTTGGTTCTAAATCTGAAAGATAAAGAAACCAACCATGTGAAGCTGAGCATTCCAGGCAGAGAGATTAGCAATACAATGGTTCTGAGCTCTGGCCTACTTGAGAGGCAAGGGGAGTAAAGAGAGAGGGGTGGGAAATCAGGTTGGGGAGGTAAGCAGGGGTGCCATCATATCAAACTTTGTAGGCCAAGGTACAGGTGCAGACTTTTTTCAAAGGGCAATGGTTCATTATTGGTAGGTTTTAATCCAGGTAGGAAAATAATCTTATCTAAGATTTTAAAATTCAGTTTGGCCTCATTGTAGGAGAATAGAAAATTAAGCAGGGAGACCAGTGAGGAAGGAGTGTAGCTGCAGCAGCTGCAGTAGAGAGACACAAAGGGAGAGTCAATTTGTATTTTGGAAGTAAAAATAACAGGATGTGCAAGGAGAAGAAAGCAAAGACACCAAGGAAGATTCCTGGGTTTTTAGCTTGAAGCAACTGCATTGTGGTAGTGAAATTTCCCAAATGGGTAAGACTGGAGAAGAAATGATGGTAAGGATAATCAAATTTCTGCTTTGGATATGCTAAAACATCTAAAGAAAGGTATAAGTAGATAGCTATACTCGTCTGTATTTTATAAAAGATGCCAAGATGTATCAAGATTTAATACAAACAATTTTTAAGAAATCTTAAGAAACTCCTTTTGTGACAAGTTAATGATAAATTATACATACACCCATGTATATCCATGTATATGTATGTACATATAAAATTTGGCTACAAAGAAAACTACGTAATTTTGGAGATATTAACATATAGATGGCATTTAAAATCACAAACGACCTAGAATAACCTAGGGTGACAATGTGGGTAATGAAGAGAAGACGGCTGATAATTAAACCCAGCACACTCAAACTTTTAACTATTGGGCAAAGGAGAAGGCATCAGCCAAAAGGTCTAAACAATTAGTGACTGGAAAGGAGGAATACAAAGAGCATATGCTATTGCAAAAGTCAAGTGAAAATGTTTACTGAGGAGAATCAATCAACTATATCAAATGTGCTGAGAGGCTTAGTAATGTGAGGACTAAGAATGGGTCAACCACTGGATTTAGCAACATGGTGGTCATGGTTAACTCTGATGTTGTTAACTTTGAGTAGCACGGAAGGAATGGATATTAAACAGGTAAGAAGTGAAGAAAGAATGAAAGGTTAAGAAGCAGAAACAGTGACTACAAAGATAATAGTGCCAGATGTTACTGGAGATAAATAGCTATGACAAGGTCCTTGTCTTCAAGAAGGGCCCCTGTATGTGTAAGATAAATCTTTTATCAATAATCCCTGAAAAATATGCTTTTCTTTTGCCACACAGGGGGTTACATTTACATTAATAAGCAGTTTCTAAAAACCTGTTACTTACTAAAATAAAAGTTAACCTAAATAACACATTTTATTAAAAACACAAAATCTTCAATGTATCAAAAATTTTATTATCAGATTTTCACAATGTTTATGTACAAACTAAAATTATATTTTCTACATCATCACACAAATTAAAATGTTCAAACATCAATGTTCAGAATATGTTTGAATACGTCTATTCAAAAAAAGCTGAAGACATTTTAAAATGATGTTTTCTTTGTCCTGTTTTCAAAATCTTCCCAGACAGGATGTTGGACAGCTATCACATATAATATGTGTGAATGAATATGATAAATGTGTCCTTTGCAACAAAAAGTCTCATACAATTTATGTAATTATAGGCATGCTGAATGAATAGTTTAGAATAATGTGCCAGTGTCATCATCAAATCGTATCTTTGTATACATGTGTAATCCATTTTGCACAATGGTTTCAATTCACTGTGTATGTAATTAAATTGTAAGATACGGTAATAGCGGCTGCTGACTTGAAATTCTCCTTTTTCATTTTAAAGAAATGAATAGAAAACATAGTCTAGTGAACATCAAAGTATTTTTTGAGACTGTTAAATCTCATCAAAGAGGTCTTCTGGGCTGCTGTTTCTCAGAGTTTCTAAAGACATGTTTTCAGCTGAGATGTGCTCCTTTTTAGACGTCTCAGGTAGTGAAGAATCAGGCCTAGAACTGAAAAGAAAATCAAAATAGTTTTATTTTTAAAAACTTCTGTTATAGAGTAAAAGAAAATGAAGAGACACATAAGTGAAATGACAGTTAAATCCTGTTTCAAATTGGTTTAGAGATTTATTTCTCTATGCTATTAACTATAAGGAAAGAGATAAAGAGACTAATTTCTCTAACTGCTTTAGAATTAATGTCTCTATTCTGACCTAAGGAAAATTCAAGAACCTATAACAATACTCATAATCAAGGTCAAGAAATAAAATATTCTGTCCTCTGTGCTATAATCACTTTTATGCCAGGATATAGAAGGTTTTTCAAGTTACTCCTTTAATGATTTCATCACAATTTACATTTTACTCTGGCTTTCTTAAATTCTACTGATTAACATGCATTTTAATCTCTTAGCAGCAGAAAGTTTTGGTCACATGAATTACCTTTAGTGGGTCTGATGATCATGTGTATATATGAAAAATAATGATTTTTCACATTTATAGCAGTTGCTGATGAAATGTTGGTCCATAATCATTTATTGAATCTGCATATCTTCATTTAGTAAACTAAATTTTATTCAGGTTCAGTATTGTAGTCACTACTTCAATGGATTGACTGCTATATTTATGTAGATATTTTCTTTGAATCCTAAGATAACAGGCTGACTGCCATGATCACTATTAATTGGTCTTAGGAAGACTGTGCCAGAGAATAACAGAGCTCAATCAGAAGTAAAGCTGTGGAGTGTGTGTTAATATCCTTGTAGAAACCTTGTCAGTGGTTCTCTATGGAACCTTAATAAAGTATGCTTAATATTATCAATTAGAGGTGGCCTCTGGGGCAATTATGATTAGGTTGAGCTAACCCAGTAATACTTGGTAATACCCCTCTATTTCCAAGTTCAAAGGCGGGGGTAGAGTCACAACACCTTGGTATAGCTGAGAAAGCATGGGACTTGAAGTCAGGAAACACAAGTTTGAACCCAGGTCTATTTCATGTTAGCTATGTAACTTTAGGCAAGTCATTTAAACTAAGTGGGCTTCTATTCTGTCCACTGTAAAACTGAGATATTAGTATTTGTCTAGAGGTGGTCTAAAGATGAAATGAGTTGATGTAAATGTAAATGCTTGTAAATTCCCACAAAGAATTTGGAAACTATTATTATTACCTGCTAATACCCCATAAACTATGTAAGAGTTTCGTTAACAGCAGAGAAGAATAACCAATGAAAACCCCCAAATATCAAGTGTGTTTAGGTGATGAGTATTTTTAAAAGCCTGCACCCTTACCTAGTTGCACAGATTATTAGAAATGAGTTCTCCTTGGCATCTTGATTAGAGACAATTAACTACAGTTGGCTGCCACTAGACCTGGGACATGTTCTGTCTTATTCTGAGCAAGCCAATTTCAGACAACATCATCACAGGAGTGCCAAGGTGCTAGGCATTAATGCATTCAAGATGACAAGTACTACCCTCTGGGATTTGCGATGTTAAAATTAACAATAAATACAGGCATAATTATTGTAACATGGAATTAAATATCTAAAAATATATTCCAAAGGAGGAGAAAATGATATAGTATGGGATAAAAGTATAATTATTATATATATACATTTTCATTGTCAACTCAAAACACGTTAAACATTTTTCTCTGGCCAAAATGTCTTAGAGTTGCTTGTGCTCCTCCTAGACAAAAGAGATAACTGAACTATCTCAATTAAAAGTAAGAAATGGAAAAACAAGCAAGGTGAATACAATAAATGGTGCATGGAAAACTGGCTAGCCATTTGCAGAAGATTGAAACTGTGCCCCTATGTATTAGTCCATTCTTGTATTGCTATAAAGAACTACCTGAGACTGGGTAATTTATAAAGAAAAGAGGTTTAATTGGCTCACAGTTCCACAGGCTGTACAGGAAACATGGCTGAGAAGCCTCACGGTAGAAGGTGAAAGGGAAGCAGGCCCGTCTTACATGGCCGGAGAAGGAGGAAGCGGGGGGTAAGATGCCACACATTTTTAAACCAGATCTCATGAGAACTCACTCACTATCATGAGAATGGCAAGGGGGAAATCTGTCTCCAGGATCCAATAACCTCCCACCAGGCCCCTTCTTCAAGATTGAGGATTACAATTAGACATGAGATTTGGGTGGGGACACCAATCCAAACCATATTGCCCTACCTTTCAACATATACAAACATTAACTCAAGATGGCTTAAAAATTTAAATGTAAGATTTCAAACTATAAAAAACTTAGAAGAAAACCTAGGAAATACCCTTCTCAACACTGTCCTTGGCAAAGAATTTTTGGCCAAGTCCCCAAAAGCAACTGCAACAAAAACAAAAATTGACAAGAGGGACCTAATTAAACTGAAGAGTTTCTACACAGCAAAAGAAACTATCAACAAAGTAAAGAGTCAGCTTACAGAATAGGAGAAAATATCCTCAAAATATGCATCTGTCAAAAGTCTAATATCCAGAATCTATATGGAACTTAAATCAACAAGCAAAAAGCAAATCACCCCATTAATAAATGGGCAAAGGACATGAACAGACACTTCTCAAGAGAAGACACACAAGCAACCAACAAACATATGAAAAAAAAATGCTACACATCACTAGTCATCAGAGAAATGCAAATCAAAGCCACAATGAGATACCATCTAACACCAATCAGAATGCCTGTTATTAAAAAGTCAAATAATAATATATGCTGGAGAGGCTGCAGAGAAAAGGGGACACTTATACATTGTTGGTGGGAATGTAAATGACTTCAGCCACAGTGGAAAGTAGTTTGGAGATTTGTCAAAGGACTTAAAACATAACTATCATCCAATCCAGCAATCCCGTTACTGGGCATATACCTCCCAAAAAACCCAAAGTGTTCTGCCAAAAAGACACATGCACTGGCATGTTCATTGCAGCACTATTCACAACAGCAAAGACATGGAATCAACCTAGGTGGCCATAATTGGTGGACTGGGTAAAGAAAATATATTACATATACACTATGGAATACTACACAGCCACCAAAAAGAATGAAATAATGTCCTTTGCAGCAACATGGATGCAGCTGGAGGCCATAATTCAGAGCAAATTAATGCAGGAACAGAACACCAAATACCTGTGTTCTCACTTATAAGTGAGAGCTAAACATTGGGTATACATGGACATAAAGATGGAAACAATAGACACTGGGGATTACTACATGGGGAAGGGAAGGAGGGGTCATGGGTTGAAAAACTACCTATTGGGTACTATGCTCAATACTTGGGTGATGAGATCCCTATCCTAAACCTCAGTATCATGCAATACACCCCTGTAACAAACCCGCACATGTACCCCCTGTATCTAAAATAAAAGCTGAAATCATATTTAAAAAGTCAGACATGGAAAGATCTCTGTAATTGTGTCCATTGTTTAGATACTGTGAACCAGAACACAGAGATCTATCAATTTTGTTTTAAAAAAATCAGCATATGACCAAAGGACCACTCTGAAGTGACCAGACTGAAGGATAAATAGATTCCTGGTGCTCCACTTATAATTTACATTTCCTTCTGATGTCATGAGGGGCTTAAGAAATAGATTTTGACCCCTGTTCATAGTGCCTAGTCATAACAGGTACTCAGTAAAAGTTGTCCCGAATGGAGATCATTGAGCTTTTATATCTATGGCAAGTCAATAGAGTAAATTTAGAACTCTCTCCACAACTCTTAAAAAAGTTTTATTATTTTTACAGGTAGTAAATGTTTATTGTTAGACTTTTTGTAAATTCTGAAAAGCATAAAAAAGAACACAAAAATGTTGATATGGTTTGGCTTTGTGTCCCCACCTGAATCTCTTTTTGAACTGTAATCCTCAATGTTGGAGGAGGGGCCTGTTGGGAGGTGATTGGATCACGGGGGTGGACTTCTCCCTTGCTATTCTTGTGATAGTATGTGTGTAACCAGAGAAGTGGGGCATTGCTATAAAGGTATCTGAAAATATAGAAGCAACTTTGGAACTGGGTAATAAGTAGAGGTTGGAACAGTTTGGAGGGGTTGGAAGAAGATAGGAAGATGAGGGAAAGTTTGGAACTTCCTAGAGACTTGTTAAATTGTTGTGACCAAAATGCTGATGGTGATATGGACAATAAAGTCCAGGCTGAGGTGGTCTCAGATGGAGATAAGGAAGTTATTGGGAACTGGAGTAGAGGTCACTCTTGCTATGCTTTTCTGGTGGAAGAAATTTCTAAGCAGCAAAGCATTCAAGGTGTGGCCTGCTGCTTCTAAAAGCCTACTCTCATCTGTATGAACAAAGAAATGACCTGAAATTGGAACTTATATTTAAAAGGAAAGCAGAATATTAAAGTTTGAAAATTTTGCAGCCTAGCCATATGGTAGAAAAGAAAAACCCATTTTCTGGGGAGGAATTCAAGGCTGCAGAAATTTGCGCAAGTAAACAGGAGCCAAATGTTAATAATCAAGACAGTGCCTCCAAGGCATTTCAGAGATCTTCATGGCAGCCCCTCCCATCACAGGCCAGGAGGCCTAGGAGGGCAGAATGGTTTTGTGGGCCAGCCCAAGGGCCCTGCTACACTGTGCAGTCTTGGGACATGGCACCCTGCATTGTGGCTGCTCCCGCTCCAGCTGTGGCTAAAAGGGGCCAACATGCAGCTTGGGCCATTGCTTCAGAGGGTGCAAGCCTCAAGCCTTGGTGTCTTCCATGTGGTGTTAAGCCTGCAGATGTGCAGAGTGCAAGAGCTGAGGCTTGAGAACCTCCACCTAGGTTTCAGTGGATGTATGGAAATGCATGGATGTCCAGGCAGAAGTCTGCTGCAGGGGTAGAGTCCTCTTGGAGAACCTCTACTAGGGCAGTGTGGATAGAAAGAAAATGTGTGGTTGGAGCCCTCAAAGGGACACTGCCTAATGGAACTGTGAGAAGACAGCCACCATCCTCCAGACCACAGAATGGCAGATCCATCATCAGCTTGCGCCATGCATCTGGAAAAGCTGCAGGCACTCAATACCAGCCTATGAAAGCAGCCATGGGGGCTGTACCCTGGAGAGCCACAGGGGCAGAGTTTCCCAAGGACTTAGGAGTCTACCCCTTGCATCACTGTGCCCTGGATGTGAGACATGGAGTCAAAGGAGATTATCTGGGAGCTTTTAGATTTAATGACTGCCATGCTGGTTTTCGGACTTGCATGGGGCCTGTAGCCCCTTTGTTTTAGCCAATTTCTCTCACTTAGAATAGGAGAACTTACCCAATGCTTGTAATCCCATTGTATCTTGGAAGAAACTAGCTTGGTTTTGATTTTATAGGCTCGTAGGTCGAAGAGACTTGCCTTGTCTCACATGAGACCTTGGACTTGAACTTTTGAGTTAACACTGGAATGAGTTAAGATTTTGGGGGACTCTTGGCAATGCATGATCATGTTTTGAAATGTGAGAAGGGGATGTGGGAGGGGCCAGGGATGGCATGATATGGTTTGGCTTTGTGTCTGCACCCAAATCTCATGTTGAAGTGTAATCCCCAATGTTGGAGGAGTGGCCTGGTGGGAAGTGACTGGATCATGGGGGCAGACATCCCCCTTGCTGTTCTCACGATAGTGTGTGAGTTCTCATGAGATCTCATTGTTTAAAAGTGTGTAGCACTTCCCCTTTTGCTCTCTCTCTCCTGCCAGTCATGTGAAGATGTGTCTGCTTCCCTTTTGCCTTCCACCATGATTGTAAGTTTCCTGAGGCCTCCCCAGCAGCATAAGCCTGCACACCCTACAGAACTGTGAGCCAATTAAACCTCTTTTCTTTATAAATTACCCAGTCTCAGACATGTCTTTATAGCAGTGTGAAAAAAGACGAATACAAATGTCTACTATCCTATTTTGCATTACTTGTACATTCACAGCCTTTTTTTTACAAAAATGTGATCATTCTACACATTTATAGTTTTGCAGCTTGATATTTTTACTCTATAATATATTAGAGATGTATTTTCATGTTGAAAAATTTAGATCTACATTCATCATTGATTTTAATTTTGATGTACTATTAGTTCACTGATAGAGGTTTGGGTTGGTTCAATTTTTAAATGCCCTTATAAACTAGACAATTAGTATCCTTATACATATATCTTAGCATATTTATCATATTTTTTTCATGAACATGCCTTCTCCAAGAAATCACGCTTAGAGGTATAATTTGAAGTAAACAACTCAGAGAACCTGTATCTAAAGTTTTAATGGAAAGTGAGAGAAACAAATAATTAGAAACTTGGGTGTTCTTAATGAAATTATAGCCATTAGTTACAGCTCTGTTTAAATTCTAAACCTTCCACAAGGACTTACTTTTTTTCCATGTTCCTATTTCATTTCATATTTGTAATTTTTATTTCCTCTGGTCATTTACAGTACCTAATATCTGTATCTTATACTTCAACATACAGTTTTGTTTATTTAATCAATACTGTACTTGTTGATTATACACTATGAACAGCTCACTGTGTTAGGAAAATAGAACAAATATAAGTGTTACTCCTGCTCTCAGAAAGCTTTAAGTTAAACATTTACTTTACCTAATGTTTTCAAGTGTGTCTTTTTATCTTAAAAATGTTATAAATAGCTTGAAGGTAACACCTAAATGACATAATTTGTTCACAAAGCGTGACTTATCCTTTTAGACATCTCTATAAATATTATATCAATATTTAACATTCAGGTATATGTTCGGATAGTTTTCTGTGGGCAACGTGGTTCAATAGGGGATATTCTGAATCTAGATATTCTGAATCTCAATAGAAATTTTGGTCAGGTCACTGCTGGACCTCAGTTTCTTCATTTGTGGAAGGTTGAGGTTATTATAAGTGATCTTAGAGCTCTTCCAGTTCCTGAATCTGAATTTGTTATGTTTGAATAGTTCAGCATAGACTACTTTGCAAAATACAGGCTCTCAAGAAATATTTGTGGAATAAATGATTAATGTGAATTAAAGAGGAAACATTAATGACAGAATAAGAAACTAAAGTTACAGGCTAAAGCCTAAGTCTTTTTTCAAATAAAGAGAATATAATGAAACTTCTCCAGATGATACTCTCACTAAAACGTGGTGTATATTCTCAAAAATATAGTTGCAGAGATTCCTATGTTCTATTAGTTTAATTTCATACTGTGTTAAAACACACACACACAGGCACACACATACACAAACTACAACTTGAATAAAAATTGCACTACATCATCTAATTAACTATGAACATTATAGATCAAAAGCTAGATTTATTAAAAAGAAAGTCTAATCCAGGGAAAGTTTCTCTAAAAATGTTAGAATAAATTATTGACTTCTCTTTTAACTTTATAGGAGTTAAATTAGTAACATCCTTAAAATGATATTTATCTCATTTTGTAAAGACATTTTCTCAGCCAAGTTTAAAATGGTATCACTACGGCCGGAATAGCAATCGCTTCCTATTCAAACGAGAAGCATTAGTATTGTTTAGAGTGACTTATGTTTTATAACATGTTCTGAGAGTAATATTTCTGAAATACGTCAAGGTGTCAACCTGTGCAAACAGAGAGATCTGGGAAAATGAATAGTGATTGATGGCGCCATAACACTTGAAGAATCATGCTTGTTTTGACTTTTGACAAAAACAATGATTTTAAATTTAAAAACTCAACTGTTATTTTAAATAACTAATTTTTTGAGGCCTAACTATATTTCTACCTATACAACACATATACAATTCAATTTTTTTGTGTGTCAGAAGTCAAACAAGCATGATTCCAGGTGAATTAAACACTTAAGTGAGAAAGGCAAAACTTTAAAGCTTTTAGAAGAAAATAAAGGGGAATGTCTTTATTACCTTGAAATAAGAAAGTTTATTCAAGGCAGAAATTGAAAACCATTAAGATAAAGATTGATACACTGAATTGCATTTGAAGTAAGTACTTCTGTTTATCAACAGATACCTTAAAGAGAATGAAATGACAAGTCACAAACTGTGAGGAGATACTGCGACATATGCTAGTAACAAAGAATATCCAAAGAACTCCTATTAACAATGTTTTAAAAGCCAAAACATATGCCAAAGACTATAGGAACTTCCAAAAAGAGGAAACAATGGAGGTAAAGAAACATATGATAATAAGCTCAACTTCATTAGCGACCAAGGAAATGCAAATTAAAGCCAGTGTGAAATATTTTACACCAGATTAGCAAAAATTAAAATGTACAATAATATCAAATATTTTGGAGGATGTGGAATAACTAGATAAATTCTTGCTGGTAGGAGTGCAAATGTTTGAAACCATTTTATAAAACAATTTGGTAGTAACTGTCAAGGTATATGAAGGTATATGTACCTATAACCTAGGAATTCTACTCATAGGTACATTCCCTTGAGAAACATTTGCATATGTGTATCAGGAGATAGGTACACAATCATAGATGCATTGTTTGCAACAGTGAAAAGCAAGAACTACCCAAATGTCTCTCCAAAGGAAAATAGGGGAATTAATTATTAAATTTTCATATAATGGACTAGATTATACAGTTATACACATACATGAATCTTAAGCATAATGTTGAGCAAAAGAGCAAGGCTCACACTTGTATCCTAACACTTTGGGAGGCTGAGGCGGGAGGATCATTTGAGCCTAGTAGTATGAGAAGTATGAGACCATATTACTGGGCAAGACAGTGAGACTCTGTCTCTACAAAAAAAAAAAAAAAAAAAAAAAGTGAAAAATAAATTAGCTGGGTGTGGTGGTACACATCTGTAGTGCTAGCTACTCAAGAGGCTGAAGCAGGAGGATCCCTTGAACCTAGGAGTTTGAGGATGCAGTGAACTATGATCATGCCATTGCACTCCAGCCTGGGTGACAGAGTGAGACCCCATCTCTTAAAAAAAATACACACATTTAAATAAATGATTATATTTATTTAAATTTCAAAACCATGCAAAACTATGCAATATTACTCTTTGAACAACGAAGTGTGTGTGTGTGTGTGTGTGTGTGTGTGTGAGATCTGTGTCAGTGTATCTGTGTATGTACATACATAATACTTTTGGATCTGATCTGCTATTTCATGAGAGAATGGTTCTGGATCTTATTATTTCTCTTCCATGACAATATTCTCAGAATTCTAGATTTTGTAGCTTTGGCTATTGTGAAGATGGTGACATGGAAGAGGAGAAGGTTTAGTATTAGGCATAAAGACTTCAGTTTCAGACATAACGGGTAAGTCTGAGTGCCTGAAGGATATCCAAATGCAGATATATTTTGAGTAGGTTAACAAATACCAAGGTATAGGACTCAGGAGAGATGTTTGGACTAGATGAACCAAGACAGCAGTCATTGCTATAAGGCAACTGGGTGAGTTGAAATGATCACCCAGAGAAGAGACCATCAGAGAGAAAAGGTTTAGCAAGAAATAGTGGAGAATATTAAAATTGTAGGGACAGACAGCTAGAGAAAGAAATGAGTCAAAAAAGGAACGACTCTAAAAATGAGTAAAACCAGGGAGGAGTGTTGTACAGAAGCCAAGGGCCAAGTTTACTTTGTGTGCCCACAGCTTGTGCTGTTTCCACTTGCCACCCAAACACTGGCTCTCTATTCAACTCTGACTGACAAACCTGTAAATACACTTTAGGCTAATGAGTCTCACCCACTATAAATTATCTGGAGTTGAGAAGAATAGCCTGGAAGAATACTGCTATGTTCATGATTTATTACAGACAAGAAGAACAGGCGATGTTTTCTTTTGGGGAGAATGAAGTCTCAAATTCTTGGACTGCAGCAGTCACAGCAAAAATCCAGCAAATGGTCAATTCCTGCCTATCCACCATGGCAGGGCATTCTGAGGCAGCTGTTTTACTCATGTTAAAATAACAAAAGTATATACATCTTTGTTTTATCACAAACTTCCCTGGCATTCATCCTCCTCATCACCGATGACGACGAGGGTAAAGCTCAGATATGGGGCAAGGGATGAAGATGAGGGGTAAGGTAAGGGCACTGTACAAATTGAGAATCCATCCTAAGCACTGGCTGGGGCACACATCATTTGGTTAAAAAAAAAAAAGTCAAATATTTTACGGTTTGTTTTTAGGACATATCAAATCAAACCTTAATCGAAATGACCTTAAAAAACAGCCAAATCAAAATATCAGGTACTTGCTGATATTAAGTAACTAAGCAGCTATCAGATTGACCTTAACAGAATTCCCATTATGAAATAAACTCAATTATGGAAACACTTCTTAAATGGAAAAGTTTTAAATAATGTGCTTAAAGACTTGACATCACCAAAGTTACCACTGTATTTTCAAATTTTAAATGTTAGTATTAAAAAAAATTTGATCTTAGAATAAGTGGGAAAAGTAGCCTACAAATTTCTAGTTGACCTTATAAAAACCAAAACCATCTCCTAAATAAATTAACAGACTGAAGTCATCCAGATTCAGTAAAACCAGTGCTGAACATTGCCTGGAATTCACTAGGCCTACACGTCATTTCGTTGGCCTAGAAAATAAAAAGAGAAGCTGAAACTTTCTGGCAGACAAAATGGCAAATAAAAGAAATTGCATTTGTTATTTTCAGTTAAATTCCTAAAGATATCTTTTTCTAATGAATATGACTTTGCTGTTTAAATTCATCAAGAGCAGGAAGAAGATGGAAATAAAATCAGCAGAATAATAAAGAGTGAATACACTTAATGTTAAAATGAATTGACATGCTTTATAGACATTGGGAAAGGATGAGAAATCTAAAATTTTCCTGTAAAATATACATATATTACAGATTTAAAAATAAGATTATCTGTTCTGGAGAATTCAAATTTTAAAGTCAACCACTAAGGTAAACATATCCAGAATCTACAAGGATGCTGGCCACTTACACAGAAATGTTATAATTTCATAATGACTAAAGATTTTGTTACTCTAGCTGTACTTTATTCAGATAAACAAAATTGTTATGGTAATTCATTAATCAATACCAAAGTACACAGATACTTAAAAAATCAATACCTGAAATGTCCTGCATACATTCCAAGTTTTGAAGTCACATAGGTGACATTTGCTACTGTTGATCTATGCCTATGAAAGTGGAAAACTGTCACGTTGGTGGAAAGTTATTCCTTTAAGACAGGCCAGGTGATCTGTGAGCTGACTGCCGCTTGCTGTGCTACAAACGAAACTTCCCTCACTAGCCTAGAAGCCTCTCCAGTTGGGGGGACTCTGCTTTATTTGACTTGGAACAATATTTAGCACATAAAAGTTCCACTGATTGCATGTATTAACCAAATAACAAATAATTGAATATATGAGAGTGTATTAATAAGAAGGCTCAGTAAAGTTAAGCAATGTACCTGAAACCACACAGCCAGTAAGCATAGGTGAGCAGGCAGTCAAGTCGGTAATGGAGCCAGGATTTTAGCCTAGGTTAAAATCCAAAATCCATACCCTTTACACTAGGCCATTCTAATGGGAGTGGGGGGGTCATCACTAACTCTTACTTCTACTCCAGAGGATGTTTTTTTCTTCTGAGGAAGGCAGCTTGGTTGTGTGCAGTGTGTCTCAAAAGGTAGTTCTGTAAGATATTTTCTAAAAAAATCTATGGTCCCAAATGTTCAGAAAATCTTTATTTCCATCCACTAAGTTCTCTTAGTCTTTCATATACATATTATACACTAAAATTTCTGTTAATTGGGAAACCTGTTAATTAGGAAAAACAAAAGCAAAGTGTAGAACAGTGTGTACAGAAAACCAGAATATGTGTGTATATACATTATACCATATGTGCATGTATATATGTGTGTATGTGTGTGTATGTGCTCATGTGTCTACAATAGCTATGGGAGGATACACAGGTAAATGGTAACTGCTGAGAGGAATTTTAGCTGAGAGGGATACTTTTGCTGAATATTCTCTTAAACTGTTGTTGTTTTTTTTTTTTAAACCTTATACATACATTATATTTTTGTAAGTGCTTTAAGAAAAAAGAACCTTGTTTAACCTAGGTTTTCCAAATGAATCTGGTGGCAGAAGCCTCTTTTCTCACAATCTCTTCACCATTAACATCCCAAGAAACTAGTGTCTTCTGGAATAGGCTGTATTACCTTCTTCGCTGAGAAAACAACATCCATTAGTCTGAAACCATAAACTTAGTGGTCCAGTTAAGGAAAACAGAAATACACAAAAAAGAAAACAGAACTCTACTTTTAGCTATCAAGAGAAGTGGCAAACACATGGGTAGACAATAATACTAGCCATGGAGGTTAGTGATTTCTAAACTGGGACCAAGGGGGATAGTTTCACCATAGCGTGGGATGAGCTGTTTTTGTTTCCTATGGCTGATGCAACAAATTACCATAACATAATGCCTTAGAACAATGCCAATTTATCATCTTACAGTTCTGGAGGTCAGAAGTCTGACAGATCTCAGTGATCAAAAGTCAAGAAGTTGGCAGAGCTGTATACTTCTCTGGAGGCACTAGTGGAGAAGCTGTTTCTGTTTTGTTGTTTTTTTTTTTTAGCTTGTAGAGGCCACTCCCTTCCTGTCTTCAAAACTTCAAAGCCAGCAATGGCAGGCGGACTCCTTCTCACTGCACATCATTCTGATGTTGCTTGCTTAGTCTTATCTCTTCCTCTGACTTTCTTCTTCTGCCTCTCTTTTCTACTTAAGGACCTTTGTGATTATATTGGACCTAACTGGATAATCCAGGATAATTTCACTGTTTTTAAGGTCTGCTGATTTTCAACCTTATTTCCATCTGCAGCCTTAATTTCCCATTGCTACGTGGTCTAACATATTCTCAGGTTCCAGGAATTAAGACGTAGACATCTCTGGGGGAAGAGGGTGGGTGGTTTACTATTCTACCACTCTAGTCTTAACTTTGTTATTAGGGCCCAATTATTATTCCAATATGCTGAATTAAATAGATTTCAGGAAAACTGAATAGAGAAAGAAGTTGAGCAAGAGCAAGACATGTAAGGTCCAGAGTTAAAAGAAATCCCCCAAGCTGGTTGGAAGAGGGATCTGCAAGGTTAGTGTAATATTATCTATAGCTCAAAGAAACAGACATTGGGTCTTATCTAGAGATAACTGAACTAGAATCATTGAGACAGGCTCGCGACCACTATCATCTATCACTTCCCCATCCACTATTTATTGAGTGTCTATTGTGGGTCAGAGACTGAGCTAGACACATGGGATTTAAAGTGAGCAAACAATCAATCCAAGGCAGAAGTAATGCTGAACTTCTGAATTCCCTTAAATACAAACTTACGGTAGCCCTTGTCTAGGGGATAACAAAACAGAATGCTGTGTTTCACTACAATGGTTCTAAAGAGCAAGGCTGGTTGTTAAAGAACCATCATGGGAATGTGACCTGTGCTGTCAATCGCACAGGGCCACAAGCTTAGAAGGCCTTCATATTTGGTTTAATGCTCTGCTGAATATTTCTCTAGGCTTTACATGAAATGGTTGACTAAGGATAATTCTACAGCTTGAATTTTTTTTTTTTATTATACTTTAAGTTCTGGGTTACATGTGCAGAATGTGCGGGTTTGTTACATAGGTATACAGGTGCCATGGTGGTTTGCCGCACCCATCAACTAGTCATTTACATTAGGTGTTTCTCCTAATGCTATCCCTCCCCCACCCCACCCCCATCTCCTGACAGGCCCTGGTGTGTGATGTTCCCCTCCCTGCGTCCATGTGTTCCCATTGTTCAACTCCCACTTATGAGTGACAACATGTGGTGTTTGGTTTTCTCTTCTTGTGTTACTTTTGCAGCTTGAATTTTTAAAGAAGACTCATGTGTGAATGAAAAGTGGGTCTATAAAGCAAGACTATTCAAATTCTGGAAGGTGTTCTTTCTTAAAGATATTAAAAAGGGGTCAGCACTAGAAGAAGTCAGATGGAAATAATCTATAAAATTCTGTCACTTTTGATTTTGAATTAAAAATATTAAACTTTTAAATTGATGTTTTAAATATAACCAAACTGTAAAGTAAAACCAAAATGTTCAGAAAGGCAGAAGGCTTTTAAAACAGATCACCGTATTCCACAATTGGCAGCAATTTGCTGTGTAGATGAGGCAACACAAGCTGTGGGGACACAGTCTACGCTCAGAATTACTGGAGAAAGACCTATCCAGCCATTTTTTTGCCCTGGAAAAGTCTCTAATATGTATGGTATTATGATTTCAATAAAAAGTTATATGTCACTACTGAACTTTTATTTATCACACTAAAAATACGTGAAGTAATTTCAAATGCTATTTAAAAGTCAATCAAATCCATACAGAAAGCCGTTGACCACAGCTGTGTTATGTTCACTTAACTATATTAACTGAACACACTATATACATTTTCCCACTGTAAAATCTTTATGATTACACAAATTACTAATTTTTTCAGGACTTTACTCTGAACTGATGTTCATTTTGAGGAACAGAGTGCCTATAACACATGGTTCCATTAGTGCATTAACTGATACAATGTCTCATTTCTTTAAATGTCCTGCTATAATCAATGGCTTAATAGAAATACAAAAATGAGTTTAAAAAATAATAATTCTCCAAACTTCATAGTGGAGGAAGCTTTTAGATGTCATTCAGCAATATTAATACATTTAATAAAATTAATGTTTTATAAAGGCATTGATTTAATTTGCCAAAATGCAGGGTGGACTGTAGCCTTTGATTATTATGCCTTGACCATATGAATTCAATACATAATTAATTTACCAATTCAAACAACCATTGTTATCTAACTGATCTTATTTTGCTATTACAAGAAAGCTACATATCTCAGCCTCAATCATCTGTCATCCGAACTATGTATGTAACTATTATCTGTTCTCCTTGTCTTTCACTTCTTTCCCTTTTAGCCTAGCTTATAATTAGTTATCTTTCTACAAGGCAAATTGATTATTACTTTCTAGTCCTACAAGGCTACAGCTGAAATTTCCTTGGCATAACAAAAAAATTATTGTACAACTTCTAGCTTCTTGACTACCATTCTGGATCTAACCATCTATTGCTCTTTCCACACCAAACTTCTTGTCATTCACCAAACACACTCTTCTTTCTTAGCCTCCAGGCTATTCCACACAGCTTCCTCAGTTTTAGGACTCTTCTACCTTCTCTACTTAGTAGATGTCTTAGTAGTATCATCATTCAAAGCCAAGTTCTTATGTTATTGTTTCTGTGAAGCTTTCCACGACTCTTCCGGGAGAGAAGGTCATCATCTTGCCAAGTTGATATGTCATTGTTTCTGTGAAGCTTCCCATGACTCCTCCAGGAAAGAAGGTCCTTATCTCCTATTCACTCATAGTATATACTAAATCAAGTAAGTCTTTGTTCCAGTAATCACAGTTGTGTAATAAACCACTCCAAACTTAGTGGCATAAAATAAAGACCATTTTGTTATGCTTGTATTTTCTGTGAGTCTGCAATTTGTCCAGGACACAGCGTGGATGGCTTGTCTTTGCTCCAAGGTGTTAGTGTCTTAGCTGAGAACACTAGAAAGCTGGGGTGGAAACAAGGCTGAGAGCCATCCAAAAGCTCTTTCATTCATATCTGGTGGATGGGTTGGAAGGCCTCAAAGACTAGGGCTGCCCACTGGAGAGCGTACACTGGTGTGGCTTCCTTGCTACAGGGAAGTCTCAGGTAGTCTGACATATAACAACTTGGGGCTCTAAGCACAAAGTTGCCCTTTCTGATGTAGCCTCCAGAAATCACGCAGCATCACTTCTCCTGTATTCTACTATTTATAAATGAGTCAAAAAATCCCACACATATTGAAACTACCTCTCAATGGAAGGAGTGTCAACCAAAGACTTAATTGTGGACATCTTTGTTACTTATATTGTAAGTAACTTGAGAACAGGGACAATGATTTAGAATTGTTTCATTCAGAATTAAGAATAGTTCCTTATAATAAAGAACTGAGGTTCTGTTGAATAAATTTACCAAAAATCCTCTTGTCAAGGGTATTTGCCTTTTTTCTCTTAGAGTTGAGTGTGAAAAAAGCTATAGCAAGTTTCATATACAATTTACACAGAATAAAATCCATTCTAAATCAAAGGACAACATTATAAACTTTTTAGAAATGCTATCACTTAGAAAAAGATTTAAACCTTATTTTTGGCTCAGAAATGAAATTTTAATTTCTGACAACTATAGCTGGTCAGTAGTTGGCTCACTTTCCATTATGAGGTAACTTCAATTGTTTATTTTCAAGTAGTTTTGGATGTTTATAAATTTAAATGTTTACAAATTTACACTAACACCATTAACTTAGTTATATCCCACCCTACTGGAATGATTGGGAAGAGAAAGTTGTGGTTAAATGAATGGCGTTTCAAACCTAATGGCTAAAAGTCTCACTAACAAATGCTGGTCAACTTCTAAGCACACGTACACTCACAACCCAACTACTGGAAGACTAGTTAGTTGAGTTTTCTATTAACCTACGCTTCATTAAATTATTATTATTAAAGGTTTATGAATGTTAGTCAATTTAAATCTCTTATATCTGGCTATTGAGAAACAACAGGGCAAATAAGCAATCATACTTCTTTCTTGATAATTTAAGTAAGTGAAAGCTGAAATAAAGTCTTCAGCTCTAGACATCCTTTATTCTGAAATGTGACCCCATTATCAATAGGAAATTATTACCCTCAATCTCACAATCAATAACCAACCAAGAAAAAGAATCAGATTTCAAAAATCAGAAAGCATAAACAGAAATTAAAATGTTAAACCAAGAAATTCTAAAAGTTGTCTGGAATTAGGAAAGTTGTCATACATAAATTCACATGCAGCCCGAAAAGACAACCATGAAAACTGAACAGGCTATAAATATGCACAGAAAATATTTAGCTGAATTCAACAGTCTGATCGTTATTTCCCTTAAAATATACATAACTTCCAAAATTCCCTTCAAAATGTTATTGGGCTTCTACAGATGATAAAAACTTAAATCTTAATGTTTTAAATGGCTAAAGTATATTCTTTTATTGCCTTCTATAAAAATAGGCCAATTTGTCATATTGTAAGAGAAAAAGGATGTTCAATATTTCCTATTTTTATCACTGAACACTTTTCTGTAACAATGTAATTTGGAAGTGACTAAAAGGAACAATTAAAAAAAACTCATCTGTAAGAATATTAAGTGTTCAGAAGGCAGGAACCATGGTTGCTTATGTGTAGTTTTCCACATACAGGAGATTTGCAACTTAAGAAATGGTCTTTTTTTCTTTTAAAAAAAGCTTATTTTTAAACTTAAACTCAGGACAGATTTTTCAGAAATGTTATAAATAACAGATATTTTCAGACCATTCTATAAAGACTACTTAGTCTATGATATAGAAGAGCTATTAGAGGTAGCAATTATAAAAATTTAACTAATAGTCAACTCAATTGTAAAATCCTGTTTTTCATATATTCCTTACTTCAACCAATATTTTCTAAATGTCAGGCATTGTGCTAGCCTCTGAGATGAAAAGATAAACAACACTCCTGTCCTTGAAAATCTCACAATCTAGTTGATCAAAAATATATTAAACAATTAATTATAATATGCTACAGTGAAGAATGTATAAAGTACTGATTTATAGGATTAAAAATCCATTTCAAGTTCTAAATCTAATGACAGGAACACATCTTCTCTTACAGAAGGCTTTTTTGTATTTGTAGATATGTACAAAAAATTTCTCATGTTACACATAAAATACTATTAAATGTGTACTATGTGACAATTTCCCATAACTTGTAAAAAATACTTTGTTGTTAATAATTATAAGTAATTATTATTCTAACAATAATAATTGTTTTCCTGAGCAATTTTTATCTTAACGAAAATTGAGTTGATTGCTATATCAGGCCACCATATATTTAAGGAAAAAGTTTTATATTTTAATTTTATTTTATTACAATAATGATAGACCATTCTAATCCAAACAAACCCAATGCAAATATCTAAAACTTAGGTAGGGTGGGTTAACAGGCCAATTTCTGCATTTGAAGGTCCATTCTAGGTCTAAAATTCTATTGTATTTTCAGGACAGAGGAGAATAGCACAGCTTTTAGGTTTCACCCAAAGTCATAAATTTAAATTTTCTGTCTTCTCTCAACTCCTTAATTTATTTTGAGTGTTGAATCATAATCAAATAAATATTCTTTAGGTGAAACAGTTACTACTTAAAATAAATATTAGGTTAAAAACAAATAATGAATTTCCCTTATCATTTCTTAAGAAGAGTAAGATTTCAAACACCACAGAAATTCTAAATCCTATACAGATCCCAGTAACCACAAAAATTATTTATTTTTTGGTATATAAATCACTACATATGCATTGCAAAAACTTTAGAAAAGTCAGAAAAATAGAAAGGACAAAATAAAGATAATCATCTGTGCCTTCACTTGTTGATATTTTAGTGTCTATCTTATATATATATATATATGCACACACATACATATAATGTACGTATGTACATAATATTTTTAAAAGTAGTTGTATTATAAAAGAGTTTATACCATTTTTTCCCTTAATAATTTGTTGGTGAATATCTTCCTTTGTCAATAATTACAGGTCTACATAATAGTTTGATCATTTTCAATAACCTCATACTATTCCGTTACATTGAGGTACCTTAAAAATATAACTGATTATTTATTCACAGTCAAAAATCATAAACAAGGTAAATGCCCATATTGTAAACCACATTTCAATGAACATCCTTGAATATACTCTTTCTAGGTAATGTTCTTAAGGTAACTGGTCTGTTGAATTCTAATGGATAATAGTTAACTATAACACTACAGTTCCTGGAAGTTTTTATTCCTAGGAATGTTAGAGTAAGAAGTAGTTCTTACAACCAAGAGAGTAGCATATATGCTTTTTCACTACCTGGAAATTAAATTATTTTTAAATGAAAGTTCTATTTTGATATGATGTGATTTTTCCTATAGAAAGATTAAAGTACAACATAGATACAAAGACATTAATGGAAACAACTATCACAGTGGTTGTTCCTATAAATATAAACCTGGAAAGAAAAAAAAGGTTTAGGCTGGGCACCGTGGCTCATGCCTGTAATCCCAGCACTTTGGGAGGCTGAGGTGGGCAGATCACAAGGTCAGGAGTTCGAGACCAGCCTGGCCAATATGGTGAAACCCCGTCTCTACTAAAAATACAAAAATTAGCCAGGCGTGGTGGCGCACACCTGTAATCCCCGATACTTGGAAGGCTGAGGCAGGGGAATCGCTTGAACCTGGGAGGTGGAGGTTGCAGTGAGCTGAGATTGTGCCACTGCACTCCAGCCTTGGCGACAGAGCAAGACTCTATCTCCCAAAAAAAAAAAAAAAGGTTTAAATCTTGGAGGAATAGAGTATTTAGTAAAATATTTGCATATTACCAAAATAGAACGTGGTTATAAATTCTTTAGGTTTCTCTTTAGAGATCACTGTCCCCCTTCCTTGCCAGTGATAAAAAGTTTTGATACTATGCATGAGAAGTGGACCTCATAAATATTATACACTGAGTGTTATTTTTGTTAATTTCTCTTTGAGGAATTTAGAGGAGGTCACATGACCTATTACAGATGATAAGTGTTTTGTGTCTGCTTATGCAAGTGTATAGGACAAACTCTTTCTTACACATAAAATAAATGGTTATTATTAACTTGAAAATAAGGCAAACAGGAGTTTTTCATAGGATTCAGAGTCAGAGCCCACAATACTTACAAGTCTAGCATGCAGAAGATAAATAAAAGGACTAAGAAAGAAAAGTAACTCACACATTGAAAGTATTTTATTCATTATGGTATTGACATTTTAATTTGAGAATACATGACTATACTTTGATGTCACTCTGCCACACATGTAATTGAAGACTAACTTAAGACGGAAAAAGATGTCTTAAGAAGTGGACCTTGACTTTCTCTGTGCAAATAAGAGTTCCATTAGAAGTTTTAGATCTTCACACATAGCCCAGAGTTTCCCTCCAAGTATTTTTTTTTTCAAGTTCAATATTCAAAATTCTGTTGAAAGTCTATTCAAAATGGCTAATTTGTCCTAAGAGTAACAGCTGTCCACAAGTATTAAATGTTCTCCTTAGGCCAAATGCTGTGTTTAAGCTTGTTATGTATGTAATTGTCACAATAATATGTGTCTATTTTGCAGATGAGAAAGCAAACCCTTAGATATCGTACTGATTCACTGAGGTCTCATAACTTACTGGCCAAGGAAGGACTTGAACCCATGCCTGCCTGTCTCCTCCATGCTCTTCACCAATGGCCTCTCCTTCTTTTCCCTTCATTATTATGTGTCCAAATTCTATTTACCCTCGAAGGCTGAGCTAAAATGCTACTTCCCTCATGAAACATGCCTTGAAGTCTGCCACTTTAAAATCTCATATATCACACATCACTAGAGGATTATTCTAACATAAATAAATTTTTCTCAAAACAACAAAGTTTTAGGCGTTACCTGTCTAATGATAATGAGTGAAATAAGAAGCAAGTCCATGTACAGCATTTACCTCTTATAGTGCAAAAGGTGTTTACAGTCAGATTATAAACTCCATTTTTCCTGAAAGTCATTAACATCACCATCTTGATTGACAAATACTTAGCAAGCACTCAAAAGTGAATTATGCTTTTCTAGACACTGTCTGTATAATATTAAATTGACATGGACTGCCTTCTTTGAGCTTACAATCTAAAACAGATGCTATGCTATAAACAAACATAAAAAGAGATAAAGGTGCCTACATACATATGTCCAATGATTGAAAGACACTGCATGAAATATTTATATTACGTTCCAGACACAGTGCAAGTGGTCCATTTCTCTCTCTCTCTCTCTTTCTGTGTGTGTGTGTGTGTGTGTGTGTGTGTGTGTGTGTGTGTAGAAGATTGAAATGTTCATATTCAAGAAGAGTTTAAGCTTAGGATTTTTCAATTGTAAGTTCTGTCTTTATAAGAAGGCAACAGCTCACATCTGTGCAACTGGGACTTTATTAGAAGAATACAGATGTCAGTCACCACAGAATAACCACTGGACACATGTGAACCAGATGCTTCCATGTAAAATAACCCAGGGTGTTTCACAGATGAATCACTGAAAACGTAATTACACATCAGTCCCAGGTTTATTAGTAACAGGTTCACTCCACTTCTGTTGAAGTCATTTGGTACTATCCATCCTGAAGTAGTGGAAAATACAAAAACGGGTACTTGGAGATGTTCAGATATCAACTCTTCTGCTGCTGCTTTGCTCTATTATCCTTATGATGAAGCGATTATTTTATTTTTTCAGTCAATTATCTTTGTGACAGATATCTATTGCTGCTTCTTACTAGGAAAAGTTGTGCCAATAAAGTTTACATTCTATCACCTCCATTTCAAAGAATTTTATTTCAACAGGAAATAAAATGTTTAGTGACCACACAACTTTTATCTACCTAATCAATGACTGCAGGGTAAACATTCATTTATAGTACCTCAGAATGTGAGCTCGATATGAAATTTTTCTTTTGCTTATAGTTTAAATGTTTGCACTGACTCCATATACATAGATTTTCTCTTTGCATAGTATGAATTCCTGGGTCATACTATTTGTGAATGTTTAACATCTTTTACAAAATGGTGCCAAGTTGTTTTTCAAAGTGTCTGAACTAATTTCCACTCCCTTTAGCAGTGTGTAAGAGTTCCTGTTGATCAATTCCTCTCCAATACCATATATATGGATTCAATGCAAACAAAGTACATGAAAAAGCTGTCAGGAAGCATCTATGTTTTATAACACTGAATCTTAGAGCTCCAAGGGTCACTAGTCTGTGTTTATAAAGTTGTCTACCTTGTTACATAATCAATTTGCTTGTTTTCTTCATGTGTTGGAGCACCATCTGATAAATAGAAATGGAACTCTATACTTAAGAGCAAAGACTTTTTGGAGTAGTTTTTCTGCTTCAGAGAGACTCTTTAAAACAAACAAAAAAATCAGCACAACAGAATCTACTTCTATTGAGAACTTTGGTTAAACTACACCAGGAGGGCACACAGCATCAGAGATGACTAGAGTATTGCATCTACCTATTCCTGCTGTATTTTAATGATGAGGTAGGTAGGGATGGTTTTAAATAGTCTCAAATAACCAGGGCCCCTGGGATATAATACCAAGAAATATTTTAATTTTTCAGTCCCAGGGTTTTCTTGTGTTTACTGTTTGCCTATGTTAGTCAAAAAAATGTCCTGACAGATAGATCTTGCTATGTCTTCCCCTTTCTCTCCAGCCTTAAAATGTTTTCTTACCAGCATTAAAAGGGAAAACCCAAAACTGCTATCTTAAATTGCTCCTCAATGATTTCAATTACTCAAAAATATTTTATGTAATATTTGATACATATAGTTATAATAGACATAATATGTAATATACATGTTATAGGGCATAATAGTATATTAAACTCCTGCAAAGCTACCACCTAAGAACCCAAAATTACCAATGTAGTTATATCCAATCTGCTCCCCCTGCCTCTCCACATAAGTATAACCCTCTCTTATACTGTGCATTAATCATTCTCTTGCCTTAAAAAGAAAAGTTTTATTACATGTATACATATACCTAACTAAATAATAGCTTGTATAAATGCTGCTTTATTTTTGAGCTTTATAAAAATGGAATCACTGTAGCTAGTGTTCTTCTTATACTCACCATTAAGAAACTATGATTCATCTATAAATATTTTTAATTTTCAATGTTGTGTAATACTATCTTGTATAATTATATAGTTTATTTTATTTTGCAAAAATAATGCTGCTATGAATGTTTTAATATGAATTTTTGGAGCATATGTACTAGATTTTCTCTTTGCATAGTATGAATTCCTGGGTCATACTGTTTTCCACTTCCTTTAGTAGTGTATAAGAGTTCCTGTGGATCAATTCCTCTTCAATACCTCATATTGCCAGAACTTTAAATATTTGCCAAAATGATTAAAATTATATCTTTTTGTAGAATTAAAAAATTCCCTTTTATGTTGAAAGAAGTTATGGGAAGAGTATTATTTGAAAATAAGTTGCTAATATGATGCCCGTGTTACTTCTGAATAGTTTTGTTATCTGGTGACCATAAATGTCCTTCTAAACATTCTCCTACTTAAGCACAATACAACCGTCAAAACAGAAAATTAACATCGATACATTGCTGCCATCTAATTTTCAACCTCCATTCAGTTTCCACTAATGTCCTTTACCTCAAAATGTCCCAAATCACACAATACTTTAGCAGTTACATCACTTTAGGCTTCTTCCTTAGTTCCTCAGTCATTTCTTGAGGTACTTCTGATGATAATTGGCCAGTTAATTTAATGGAATGTACTTAATTTGAGTTTGTTTGAGATTTCCTCATGCTTTGATTAAAGTTGTGCACCTTTGGTAGGACTATTACAGAAGTGCTGCTGTGTTCCTATTGCATTTGATCAAGGTGGTGTATGGTTTCAATTTGTACCATTACTGATGATGTTGATTTTGATCACAAGGTTACCATGCTTTTCTACTGAAAAGTTTCTCTTGTACCCTTTAAAATTAATAAGTGTTTTATGGAGAAGTAATGATGTCGGCCATATTTTTATATGTTTCAAAACTATTTGTGCTTTTCCTTTTGGGATTGTCTGATTAAGTCTCTGGCCCATTTTACTATTGTTTTCTTGGCTTTTATTTAATCGACTTAGAGAATACAAATTCTTTGTCAGCTATATGGGTTACAAATATTTTCTCTCACTGCATGGGTTGTCATTTTCTTTATAATGTTCTTTGATGTACCAACACTTCTTATTTTAATGTGGTCAAATTTATACATTTTTCTTTTGTGGGGTTGCACTCTTTCAGCCTTATTTAAGAATATGTTCTCTTAAGACGTTAAAAATATTCTCCTGTGTTTTCTTCCAAAAGTGTTAAACTATTGCCTTTTATATTCACATTTTAAATTCATTTGAAATTTGTTTTCATGTAGGTGTGAGGAGGGGATCAAATTTCATTATTTTTTAAATAAAAAATCAACTTGCTGGGTGCAGTGGCACATGTCTGCAGTCCCAGCTAATAAGGAGGCTTAAGTGGGAGAATTGCTTGAGGCTAGGAGTTGTTGGAGTCCAGTCTGGGCAACATAATGAGACCCTACCTCTGAAAGAAAAATTTAAAAAATTAAAAATAAAAAACTCAATTGTCATAATATTTTTTATTATATAGTTGATTCCTTCTCTAGTGAATTTTATTGTTACTTTTGCCATATGCCAAATTTGTATATATGCATGAGTATCTTGCTCCATTCTTTCCTTTATCTGTTGTCTATCCCAGTGCTAATATCTTGCTTTACTATTATTCCTATATAATAAGTCATGATTCTGGTAGATAAAGTTTCCCCACTTTATTCTTCTTCAGAATTGCTTTGGTTATTCTTAGCCTTTTGTTCTTCTATGTAAATTTCAGAAACAGCTTGCCAAAATCTTGTTAGAATTTTGATGACAAATAAGTGAAACTACAAATAATGGAGAAAGAATAAAAATCTTTAAGATACTGAATATTCCTGTCCTTTAAATTTTACAATTTGCTCCATCTTTTTATTATTTAATCCTTGTATATTTTGAAAGTATTTTCTAACTCTGATGCTGATGTATAGAAATGCAGTAATTTTTGCATTTTTGTCATGTATCAAGCCACTTTGCTAAATATTCTTATTAATTCAAAGTATTTACCTATAGATTCTTTTGAATTTTCTATGTAGTCAATAATATGCACTATGAATATTGATATGGTTTGGCTGTGTCCCCATCCAAATCTCAACTTGAATTGTATCTCCCTGAATTCCCACGTGTTGTGGGAGGGACCCAGGGAGAGGTAATTGAATCATGGGGGCCAGTCTTTCCCATGCTATTCTCCTGATAGTTAATAAGTCTCACAAGATCTGATGGGTTTATCAGGGGTTTCCGCTTTTGCTTCTTCCTCATTTTCTCTTGCTGCTGCCATGTAAGAAGTGCCTTTTGCCTCCCGCCATGATTCTGAGGCCTCCCAGCCATGTGGACCTGTAAGTCCAATTAAACCTCTTTTTCTTCCCAATCTCAGGCATGTCTTTATCAGCAGCATGAAAACGGACTAATAGAAATATTGAAAAGTTTCTTTCTTTTCAAGACTTATATATTTTATTTCTTTTTGTGCTATGCATGCACTGGCTAGGACCTCCAATACAGTATGGAATGGAAGTAGTGATCATGGGCATCTTGTTGAGAAGAAGTGTTTCTATTTCTTGTGTTTGTGTGTTGTATACATGAGAAGATTCTCATAAATCCTAGCTTGCAAAGACATTTTGTTATGTCTGAGTGCTGAATTTTATTAAACTTCTTTGCACTAATTGAGGTTTTACTCCTTTAATCATCATGGTATATTTAGTCCTTCCTGAAATAAATTAAACTTTTTCATCATATATTTTTCAGCTTTATTGATAACTGATTGACAAATAATTGTATATATTTATGGTATACAATTTGAAAATTTTATATACATATACAATATGAAATAACCACAACAATCAAGCTAATTAACATAACTGTCACCCCATATAGTTACCTTTTTGTATAAGAATACATAAAATAACAGCTAAATTTAATAATAATGAAATTATTACTAGTGAACCATTTTATAAGGTGAATGAATAGATGAACAAACTGTGGTACATCCCCACATGGACTACTACTCATAAAAAAGCAATGATACATACTGATATATTTCTACATGGAAAAATCTCAAGGCATTATGCTACATGAAAGAAGCCAGACTCAAGATGGCTATATACTGTAGGATTTTATACAGCATTCTGGAAAAGGCAAGACTCTTGAGATAGAAATCAGGTCAGCAGTTGCCAGGGCTGGGTGTGGGGAAAGAGGATTGACTACAAATAATTATAAGGAAACTTAGGATGATGGAAATGTTCCCAGCCTGACTATATAAATTTGTCAAAATTCACAGAACTATACACCTAAGAAGCATGAATTTTACTTTATGTTAATTACACTTCAATAAGCAAAACAAACAAGTTTAAAAATATAGATAGAAATATTTCCCCTGAAGAGCATTTTCTAGCAATTCAATATTCATGATGAGCTTTTATCTCTGATTAACGTGCAGGTGTATGCCATTAGGTGTAAAAAAGCAATTTTTTTAAAAACAGCGTATTGTTCATTGTGAAATATATATTCACGGAACAGCAATAAGAATTCCTTAGCAATCCTCTGGGAATGGGGACAAGCAATTGAGGAAGGCAGTTTGCTAGTGTCAAATTGTCAAGGGATGCTTAATATGCTTCTTTAGATTTTCTACTTCTCTTAACAATCTTTAAGAAATAGATTACAAGCTGCTTTCTGGCACGACTTGGTTGCTATAAGAATACAAGAAATGTAACTGTACATTACAAAAAACTCACATTATGCAATGTCAAAATTACACTTGTAAAAGCAAAACTTCAAGAAATAAACCATATTGTAGTTCAAAGCCTGGAAAATGTCATGTTAGTAGAATATATAGATCCCAAACAAATTTTCCCATAAAGAATATTAAATGCTATATGGCTCAAGCTTGGTTAGAAGGATTTTAAAATTTCTTTTAATCATGGTTAAAAAATTAGGGACATCATGTTACAAACTCTCAATAAACTAGGTATTGAAAAACTCTTAAGTAAACTAGGCACTTAAATGTAAAACCCAAAAACTATAAAAATCCTAGAAGAAAATGTAGGCAATACAATTCAGGACATAGCAACAGACAAAGATTTCATGACAAAGACTCCAAAAGCAATTGCAACAAAAGCAAAAATTGACAAACGGGGTCTACTTAAACTAAAGAGCTTTTGCACAGCAAAAGAAACTATCGTTGGAGTTAGCAGAAAACCTACAGAATGGGTGAAAATTTTTGCTATCTATCCATTTGACAAAGGTCTAATATCCAGAGTCTACAAGGAACTTAAACACATTTACAGGGAAGAAACAAACAAGCCCATTAAAAACTGGGCAAAGGACATGAGCAGATACTTCTCAAAAGAAGACATAAGTGCAGCCAACTAACATATGAGATACCATCTCATGCTAGTCAGAATGGCTATTAAAAAGTCAAAAAACAACAGATGCTGGTGAGGATGCAAAGAAAAAGGAATGCTTTTACACTGTTAGTGGGAGTGTAAATTCGCTCAACCACTGTGGAAAACAGTGTGGTGACTCCTTAAAGACCTAGAACCGGAAATACCATCGGACCCAGCAATCCCATTACTGTATATATATCTAAAGAAATAGAATAATTCTATTATAAAGATACATGCATGCATATGTTCATTGCAGCACTATTCACAATAGCAAAGACATGGAATCAACCTAAATGCTCATCAATGATAGACTGGAAAAAGAAAATATGTACATATACACCATGGAATACTATGCAGTCGCAAAAAAGAATGAGATCATGTCCTTTGCAGGTGCATGGACAGAGTTGGAAGCCATTATCCTCAGCAAACTAATGCAGGAACAGAAAACCAAACATAACATGTTATCACTTATAAGTGAGAGCTGAATGATGAGAACGCATGGACACAATGGGAGAACAACACACACAATGGGGCCTGTTGAGGGGTGTTGGGGGAGGGAGAGCATCAGGAAGAATAACTAATGGATGCTGGGCTTAATACCTGGGTGATGGGATGATCTGTGCAGCAAACCACCATGGCACACATTTACCTATGTATCAAACCTGCATGTCCTGCACATGTACCCCTGAACTTAAAATAAAACTTATAGGAAAAAAGAAAAAAATTAAGGACAGATTCCATTATGAATAATAACAAAATAAAATGAAATTTGGAAGAAAATTGCCTATAAGTAGTAAGAGAATCTGGCTGAAAGCAGATAAGGTCATGGACTCTAAAAAACAGCATGCTCAAATATGTGATAGCTTTTATTAGGAGGCAGAAACATTTCCAGCCTCATTGCAAAAGGGAAATGTTGACTAGCAAAAGCTCATACTAGGGAATAAAATAGGAGACACCTACCTGCCAAAGAAGATGGGATTGTGCTACATTGTTCTAGGAAGGAACTTTAAAAAAATCACTTGAAGGGTTCCCAAAGTAGCCAAAGGTGGGGAGGCCGTCCATTCTACATGATCACCTGAGACTGAGGTAAATCTTCTGAGTTCCCAGTAAGTCTATTTTCAAATTACTTTTAGTTTGCTTTTATAAAGTGGCTTTGTTCTTGAATTTGCATGGTGATTCTATGCATATTATCTTGAGTCAATCAAAATCTTTACTCTCCCTAAGGTACTACCTAATGTCAAATACTTCACAATCTTAGCAGAGTCTTAGGGCTAATCATTAGAATGTATTGGGAGGAAACAAAGGCTGCCATAGGAATACCCCACTGGCATGAACATGTATGGAATTCAAGTATGTGTCTGTCTTCCTAGAATACTAAAAACTATATTTTCCTTCTTTTAGCTACACTAAAAAGCTACAGAAATGGCAAAAGCCAATGGCATCTTATGTACTTAAAAAAAGAAATCCCAAAATATTGATCAACACTTTCTACTTTTCCTCTTACATCTATTGACAAGGATAAGGATATTGACAAAGATATTTACATGAATAAAATATTTTTAATGTTTGATCAATAGAAGAGTTATCTTAGACCACTGATAAAAACAAACAGGAATTCCACAATTCCAGTTAATGTTGTGGAGTTAAAAACCCCATGACTGTGCCTGAAAGGTAGATGGATCTAATGCACATGTGTCTTTCATTTAGTGAGACATCAAGTTGTTTGTGTGTACAGTACATTCATGTTCTTTATAGTATGCTGAGATTAACAATAATTTGAAAAATAAAAAAGTTAACATATTCACCTTATTAATATTTTCTGCGGCTTAATAGGAACAGGCAAGGCTACCAAGAAAATAATTTAATCTGAGATTTTCTATATTTATACACAAGTATTTCCATGGGGGTAAGAATCAAAAAGCTCTAACAAAAATTGTCAAAAGAACTGGAGATTTTCTTGATGTATTCTGCTACATCATTCCAAAATATCTGATGAAAACTGTGGCAAATTATGCAACTCTAAAAAACTGAAGTGAAACTGATATAAACTTATCCTATCATCTCTGGATAATCAAACTGTCCTTCATATTATAATTTATCATTTCCTTTGGTTTCATTGCTAAATCACTGATACCTGATCTATACCACAGTAAATCTTCATTTGGCTTATAACATCTTTTCTTTACCATTCTCTCTTCCTCAAATAGTGAAATTAACCTTGAAAACATATTTCAAAACTCACCCAAGTTCTGTCTAGTCTGCAAAATTTCTAGTTCCAAACACAGTATCAGATATTTTTGTTCATACATCCTTACTACTTTTACTGTTCAACTCTCACAAGAGAACACAAGAAAAATGACCTCTATTTATTTTGCACTTGGCCAAAAACATCTAAGCAAAAATTTGTATTAATCAAAAAAAAAATGAAGAGAAGAGAAATATTTTTATTAAAACTGTTGCTTTATTTTTATTATAATTTGAGGAATTGGTAATTATTTTTATAACTAGAATAAATAATTTCTCTCCAACTGATTAAAGTATGGTACTGTTGATATGGTTTAATTAACATTTCTGTGTAACAACCTCTCTAAAATCCTCAGCAACAAGCAATGATAGAAAATCATTTGTAATGCTGTAATATTCATTTTCTTATTTGTAGTATATTTACTATTACATTTTCCAAGGATACTTTACAGCCATATACTTTTTTTTGATAAATATGAGTAATCAAAAATTTAAAATCAATGAAAATTATTTTAGGGCTAATTATTTCCTGATTTAAACTGTGCATTTCAAAATACCATTTTGCATTATAAAACTCACCATATTTTTTTGGTTTCTGCATTTTTGTACTCCCTTCCCTGCTTGGAAAACACTATTTTATTTCAAGCTTCAGTTCAGATCTTCTAAGTAGCTTTAAAGAACTAGATCCATCAGAGTCAATACTCCACCCATGCTCCCCATCCGCTCCCACATACTTCGAATAGGGCTCTTGCTGTACTATAACAATTATTTTTTGTGTTTGTCTCTTTCATTAAACTTTGAGTTCCTCAGTGCATTTATTTCCTATGACTGCTGTGACAAATTACCCAAACTTGGTTGTTTAAAACAACACACATTTATTCTCTTATAGTTCTGGAGTCCAGAAGTCTGAAATCAGTAACACCAGAATAAAATCAAGGTATCATCAGGGCTGCATTGCCTCCAAGGCCATTAGGTGAGAATCTGTTCCTTCCTCTTCCAGCTTTTTGTGGTTGTAGCATTCCTTGGCTGGGAGCCACATCTCTCCAATCTCTGCCTCCAATGTCACTTTGCCTTCTTCTCTGTCTGTGCCAAATCTCTCTATGCCTCCCTCTTATAAAGATCTATGTAATTGTATTTGGGCTTACTTTGGTAATCCAGGATAATCCTAGGATAATCAAAATCATTAACTTGATCACACCCACAAAGTCTTTGCCATATGATAACATTCGCATGTTCCACAAATTAGGACATGCGCATGCGGCGGTTGGGGGAGATGGAGGGAGTGGTTATTCAGCCTATCACACCCAGTGAGGGAAAGTTATCTTATTCATGTTGGTACCTTCAGTCCACAGCATATTGCCTGGCACAGAGTAGGTACTATATAATTGGGGGATAAAAACATAAATAATTTCATTGAGGTCTTTAATTGCATATAAAGTCATGGAAAATTGTGAGTTCATAGCATTTGATAGAGTTCAGCGCTGAGATACATTGAGGCTTAAACAGGCTAATTGTAATGTTTTTAATGGCATACATAGTAAATAAATTTGTTTTATAATTAGGTTCCTATTAAATGTCTAACAATATTCCGGAGTTATGCAGACATCAGATATGGAAAAAATTCTTCAGATAACACAATTTACAAGTAAGTAAATGTAAATTGTGAAAGCATAGAACATAAAATAAGAAACAGCTTAACAGTACAAGCTCATTACTTTTCCAATTAAAAACACAATTCAAATGTTTACAATTATCATCTTTAGAAGGTTTGTTTTATTTTAAATGATACATACTAGATAGTAAAATATTCCTTAATTCATATAAATCAACTGAATCTCTCAGACACTGAGTAATGCCTCCAGTGAATGCTTGGCTGGTTTCCTGGTCTTTGTGCCATTTTGGTGTGACTTAATCATGGATAATAAGGAACATTACCATAACACATTAAATTTTTTGCATTTTGATCATAGATAAAAAATTCTTCAGGGAATATCACATCTTTGCAATTATGATCTTATCTGTATTCCACAATTCCAGTTAATGTTGTGGAGTTAAAAACCCCATGACTGTGCCTGAAAGGTAGATGGATCTAATGCACATGTGTCTTTCATTTAGTGAGACATCAAGTTGTTTGTGTGTACAGTACATTCATGTTCTTCATAGTATGCTGAGATTAACAATAATTTGAAAAATAAAGTTAACATATTCACCTTATTAATATTTTCTGTGGCTTAATAGGAACAGGCAAGGCTACCAAGAAAATAATTTAATCTGAGATTTTCTATATTTATACACAAGTATTTCCATGAGGGTAAGAATCAAAAAGCTCTAACAAAAATTGTCAAAAGAACTGGAGATTTTCTTGATGTATTCTGCTACATCATTCCAAAATATCTGATGAAAATTGTGGCAAATTATGCAACCCTAAAAAATTGAAGTGAAACTGATATAAACTTACTGCAATCATAAAGTTCAAAACTATTATTTAGTGAATACAGACACACTTTGCATACATTGCCAGTTTGGTTCCATGCCAAAACAATAAAGTCAAAATCTCAATAAAGTGAGTCACATAAATGTTTTGCTTTCCCTGTGCAGAAAAAGTTATGTTTACATGACACTGTAGCCTATTAAGTGTGCAACAGCATTATGTCTAAAGAAATGTACATAACTTGCTAATGCCTGTAATCCCAGCACTTTGGGAGGCCGAGGCGGGCAGATCACAGGGTCAGGAGTTCCAGACCAGCCTGGCCAATGTGGTGAAACCCCATCTCTACTAAAACTACAAAAATTAGCCAGGCATGTTGGCGGGCACCTTAGTTCCAGCTACTTGGGAGGCTGAGGCAGAAGAATTGCTTGAACATGGGAGGCAGAGGTTGCAGTGAGCTGAGATCATGCCACTGCATTACAGCCTGGGTGACAGAGCGAGACTCTGTCTCAAAAAAAAAAAAAAAAAAAAAAGAAGTACATAACTTAATTTCAAAATGTTTATTGCTAAAAAATGCTAATAATCATCTGGGCCTTTAGCAAGTTGTAACCTTTTTTGCTGGTGCAGGGTCTTGCCTCAATATTGATGGCTGCTGACTGATCAGGGTGGTAGTTGCCAAAGGTATTAAGTGGCTGTGCAATTTCTTAAAATAAGACAATGAAGTTCATGACACTGATTGACCCCTTCACAAAATATTTCTCTATAGCATGGGGATGCTATTTGACAGCATTTTTTCCTCAGTAGAACTTCTTTCAAAATTGGAGTCAATATTCTCAAACCCCACCTCTGCTTTATGAACTAAGTTTATGGATATTATAAATCCCTTTTTGTAATTTTAACAATGTTCATAGAATCTTCGCCAGGAGTGGTTTTTATTTCTTTTTTTTTTTATTTTTTTATTATTTTTTTATTTTTTATTTTTTATTATACTTTAAGTTTTAGGGTACATGTGCACATTGTGCAGGTTAGTTACATATGTATACATGTGCCATGCTGGTGCGCTGCACCCACTAACGTGTCATCTATCATTAGGTATATCTCCCAATGCTATCCCTCCCCCCTCCCCCGACCCCACAACAGTCCCCAGAGTGTGATATTCCCCTTCCTGTGTCCATGTGATCTCATTGTTCAATTCCCACCTATGAGTGAGAATATGCGGTGTTTGGTTTTTTGTTCTTGCGATAGTTTACTGAGAATGATGGTTTCCAATTTCATCCATGTCCCTACAAAGGACATGAACTCATCATTATTTATGGCTGCATAGTATTCCATGGTGTATATGTGCCACATTTTCTTAATCCAGACTATCATTGTTGGACATTTGGGTTGGTTCCAAGTCTTTGCTATTGTGAATAATGCCGCAATAAACATACGTGTGCATGTGTCTTTATAGCAGCATGATTTATAGTCATTTGGGTATATACCCAGTAATGGGATGGCTGGGTCAAATGGTATTTCTAGTTCTAGATCCCTGAGGAATCGCCACAATGACTTCCACAATGGTTGAACTAGTTTACAGTCCCACCAACAGTGTAAAAGTGTTCCTATTTCTCCACAACCTCTCCAGCACCTGTTGTTTCCTGACTTTTTAATGATTGCCATTCTAACTGGTGTGAGATGATATCTCATAGTGGTTTTGATTTGCATTTCTCTGATGGCCAGTGATGATGAGCATTTTTTCATGTGTTTTTTGGCTGCATAAATGTCTTCTTTTGAGAAGTGTCTGTTCATGTCCTTCGCCCACTTTTTGATGGGGTTGTTTGTTTTTTTCTTGTAAATTTGTTTGAGTTCATTGTAGATTCTGGATATTAGCCCTTTGTCAGATGAGTAGGTTGCGAAAATTTTCTCCCATGTTGTAGGTTGCCTGTTCACTCTGATGGTAGTTTCTTTTGCTGTGCAGAAGCTCTTTAGTTTAATTAGATCCCATTTGTCAATTTTGGCTTTTGTTGCCATTGCTTTTGGTGTTTTGGACATGAAGTCCTTGCCCACGCCTATGTCCTGAATGGTAATGCCTAGGTTTTCTTCTAGGGTTTTTATGGTTTTAGGTCTAACGTTTAAATCTTTAATCCATCTTGAATTGATTTTTGTATAAGGTGTAAGGAAGGGATCCAGTTTCAGCTTTCTACATATGGCTAGCCAGTTTTCCCAGCACCATTTATTAAATAGGGAATCCTTTCCCCATTGCCTGTTTTTCTCAGGTTTGTCAAAGATCAGATAGTTGTAGATATGCGGCATTATTTCTGAGGGTTCTGTTCTGTTCCATTGATCTATATCTCTGTTTTGGTACCAGTACCATGCTGTTTTGGTTACTGTAGCCTTGTAGTATAGTTTGAAGTCAGGTAGTGTGATGCCTCCAGCTTTGTTCTTTTGGCTTAGGATTGACTTGGCGATGCGGGCTCTTTTTTGGTTCCATATGAACTTTAAAGTAGTTTTTTCCAATTCTGTGAAGAAAGTCATTGGTAGCTTGATGGGGATGGCATTGAATCTGTAAATTACCTTGGGCAGTATGGCCATTTTCACGATATTGATTCTTCCTACCCATGAGCATGGAATGTTCTTCCATTTGTTTGTGTCCTCTTTTATTTCCTTGAGCAGTGGTTTGTAGTTCTCCTTGAAGAGGTCCTTCACATCCCTTGTAAGTTGGATTCCTAGGTATTTTATTCTCTTTGAAGCAATTGTGAATGGGAGTTTACTCATGATTTGGCTCTCTGTTTGTCTGTTGTTGGTGTATAAGAATGCTTGTGATTTTTGTACATTGATTTTGTATCCTGAGACTTTGCTGAAGTTGCTTATCAGCTTAAGGAGATTTTGGGCTGAGACGATGGGGTTTTCTAGATAAACAATCATGTCGTCTGCAAACAGGGACAATTTGACTTCCTCTTTTCCTAATTGAATACCCTTTATTTCCTTCTCCTGCCTTATTGCCCTGGCCAGAACTTCCAACACTATGTTGAATAGGAGTGGTGAGAGAGGGCATCCCTGTCTTGTGCCAGTTTTCAAAGGGAATGCTTCCAGTTTTTGCCCATCCAGTATGATATTGGCTGTGGGTTTGTCATAGATAGCTCTTATTATTTTGAAATACGTCCCATCAACACCTAATTCATTGAGAGTTTTTAGCATGAAGCGTTGTTGAATTTTGTCAAAGGCTTTTTCTGCAACTATTGAGATAATCATGTGGTTTTTGTCTTTGGCTCTGTTTATATGCTGGATTACATTTATTGATTTGCGTATACTGAACCAGCCTTGCATCCCAGGGATGAAGCCCACTTGATCATGGTGGATAAGCTTTTTGATGTGCTGCTGGATTCGGTTTGCCAGTATTTTATTGAGGATTTTTGCATCAATGTTCATCAAGGATATTGGTCTAAAATTCTCTTTTTTGGTTGTGTCTCTGCCCGGCTTTGGTATCAGAATGATGCTGGCCTCATAAAATGAGTTAGGGAGGATTCCCTCTTTTTCTATTGATTGGAATAGTTTCAGAAGGAATGGTACCAGTTCCTCCTTGTACCTCTGGTAGAATTCGGCTGTGAATCCATCTGGTCCTGGACTCTTTTTGGTTGGTAAACTATTGATTATTGCCACAATTTCAGAGCCTGTTATTGGTCTATTCAGAGATTCAACTTCTTCCTGGTTTAGTCTTGGGAGAGTGTATGTGTCGAGGAATGTATCCATTTCTTCTAGATTTTCTAGTTTATTTGCGTAGAGGTGTTTGTAGTATTCTCTGATGGTAGTTTGTATTTCTGTGGGATCGGTGGTGATATCCCCTTTATCATTTTTTATTGTGTCTATTTGATTCTTCTCTCTTTTTTTCTTTATTAGTCTTGCTAGCGGTCTATCAATTTTGTTGATCCTTTCAAAAAACCAGCTCCTGGATTCATTGATTTTTTGAAGGTTTTTTTGTGTCTCTATTTCCTTCAGTTCTGCTCTGATTTTAGTTATTTCTTGCCTTCTGCTAGATTTTGAATGTGTTTGCTCTTGCTTTTCTAGTTCTTTTAATTGTGATGTTAGGGTGTCAATTTTGGATCTTTCCTGCTTTCTCTTGTAGGCATTTAGTGCTATAAATTTCCCTCTACACACTGCTTTGAATGCGTCCCAGAGATTCTGGTATGTGGTGTCTTTGTTCTCGTTGGTTTCAAAGAACATCTTTATTTCTGCCTTCATTTCGTTATGTACCCAGTAGTCATTCAGGAGCAGGTTGTTCAGTTTCCATGTAGTTGAGCGGCTTTGAGTGAGATTATTAATCCTGAGTTCTAGTTTGATTGCACTGTGGTCTGAGAGATAGTTTGTTATAATTTCTGTTCTTTTACATTTGCTGAGGAGAGCTTTACTTCCAACTATGTGGTCAATTTTGGAATAGGTGTGGTGTGGTGCTGAAAAAAATGTATATTCTGTTGATTTGGGGTGGAGAGTTCTGTAGATGTCTATTAGGTCCGCTTGGTGCAGAGCTGAGTTCAATTCCTGGGTATCCTTGTTGACTTTCTGTCTCGTTGTTCTGTCTAATGTTGACAGTGGGGTGTTAAAGTCTCCCATTATTAATGTGTGGGAGTCTAAGTCTCTTTGTAGGTCACTCAGGACTTGCTTTATGAATCTGGGTGCTCCTGTATTGGGTGCATAAATATTTAGGATAGTTAGCTCCTCTTGTTGAATTGATCCCTTTACCATTATGTAATGGCCTTCTTTGTCTCTTTTGATCTTTGTTGGTTTAAAATCTGTTTTATCAGAGACTAGGATTGCAACCCCTGCCTTTTTTTGTTTTCCATTGGCTTGGTAGATCTTTCTCCATCCTTTTATTTTGAGCCTATGTGTGTCTCTGCACGTGAGATGGGTTTCCTGAATACAGCACACTGATGGGTCTTGACTCTTTATCCAACTTGCCAGTCTGTGTCTTTTAATTGCAGAATTTTGTCCATTTATATTTAAAGTTAATATTGTTATGTGTGAATTTGAACCTGTCATTATGATGTTAGCTGGTGATTTTGCTCGTTAGTTGATGCAGTTTCTTCCTAGGAGTGGTTTTTATTTCAAGAAGCCACCTTCTTTGCTCATCCATAAGAAGTCTTCATCCATTCAAATTTTACTGTAAGACTGCAGACTACACTTCTAATTCTAGTTCTCCTGCTGCTTCTACCACATTTCCAATTACTTCTTCCACCAAAGTCTTGAACCCCCTAATCATCCACAAGGATTGGAATCAACTTCTCCCAAACTCCTGTTAATGTTGATAATTTTACCACCTCCCATGAATCATGAATGTTCTTAATGGCATCTAGAACAGTGACTCCTTTCCAGAACATTTTCAATTTACTTTGCGAAGATCCATCAGAGGAATCACTATCTATGGCAGTTGTAGCCTTACAAAATGTAATTCTGAAATAATAAGACTTGAAAGTCAAAATTACTCATTCATCTATCGCTGCAAAATGAATGTTGTGTTAGCAGGCATGAAAACACACTTCTTTGTATATATCCATCAGAGGTCTTGGATGACTAGGTGCATTATCAATGAGCAGTAATATTTTGAAAGGAATCTTTTTTTCTGAGCAGTAGGTCTCAACAGTAGGCCTGCAATAATCAGTAAATCATGCTATAATCAGGTGTATCATCATCTAGTCTTTGTTGTTCCATTTCTTGAGCAAAGGCAGCATAGATTTAGCTTAATTCTGAAGGGCCCTAGGATTTTCAGAATGATAAATGAGCACTGGCTTCAACTTAAAGTTACCAGCTGCATTAGCCACTATCAAGAAAGCCTGTTCTTTGAAGCCAAGAATTGACTTCTTTCTAGCTATGAAAGTCCCAGATGGCATCTTCTTCCAAAAGAAGGCTGTTTTGTGTACACTGGAAATATTTTGTTTAGTGTAGCCACTGTCATCAATTATCTCAGCTAGATCTTCAGGATAACTGGCTGTAGTTTTTCCATTGGCACTCATTGCTTCACCTTGCATTTTTGTTATAAATGGCTTCTTTCCTGAAACCTCCTAAACCAATCTCGGCTAGCTTCCAGTTTTTGTTCTGCAGCTTCCTCACCTCTCTCAGCCTTCACAGAATTGATGAGAGTTAGGGCCTTGCTCTGGATTAGGCTTCGGTTTATAGGAATTTTGGGGCTGGTTTGATTTTTCTATCCAGACCATTCAAACTACATCTCAGCAATAAGGCTGTGTTACTTTCTTGTCATTCATGTGTTCACTGAAGTAGCACTTTTAATTTCCTTCAAAAAGTTTTCCTTTGCATTCACAACTTGGTTGTTTGGTGAAAGAGACGTACCTTTTGACTTTTGGCTTTCAACTTGCCTTCCTCACTAAGCTTAATCATTTCTAGCTTTTGAATTTAAATGAAAGACGTGCAACTCTTCCTTTCATCTGAACACTTAGAGGCCATTGTAGGGGTATTAACTGGCCTAATATCAATATTGTTGTGGGTCAGGGAATAGGGAGGCCTGAGGAGAGGGAGGGACATGAGCAGACAGCCAGGCAATGAAGCAGTCAGAATGCATGCAACATTTATTGATTAAGTTTGTAATATTTTATGGGCATGGTTTGTGGCACCCCAAAATAATTGCAATAGTAAAATAAATGATCACTGATCACAGATAACCATAACAGATATAGTAATAATAAAAAGTTTGAGGTATAGTGAAAATTATAAAAATGTGACAGTGACACAAAGTGACCACATGCTTTTGGGAAAATGGCACCAACACACTTGTTCAACACAGGGTTGCCGGAGATGTTCAATTTATAAAATATGCCATATCTGCAAAGTGCCACAAGTGAAGCACAATAAAATGAATTATGCCTGTATTAAATAACACTGCCTATTGAAAGCTGTTATCATGTATATCATTTACATTTTAACTGCAGTCATTACTATTTCTTTCCATTATGGATGTAGAGAATCTGGACTAATATACATCCTATGTCAATTTCACCTACAATTAGAATGTTTCCTTGTGCAACCAAATGGTTTTCTTTAACTAGGCAACAATTATCTAAAAATCAAGTTAAAGGATAATTATCAAAGTATAGAACAGCATTACTTACATCCCTTTGTTAGAGAAAGGGTTATAATTTATTTATTTGACTGATACAATTTTTTTAAATTAGTGCCTACCACATGTTATTACTTTGCTTTACAAGGAATATATATTGAAGTAACATTTATTAAAGGAAAAATCTATAGTGCTAGGATATATCTGAGAATGAAAGGGGAGGTATTTGAAGCAAGAATGAGATTAAATAATAATAAAATAATATTAATGAAGAATAAGATGTAAAGATTGTGTTCTTGGTTGGACACAAGATGTCTAGAAATTCTTTACTCAGAAAGCTATGTAGTAATTAAATAACATACAACATTACTGTCTTTATAAAACTTATATTTTAATGAAAAGAGACGAGTACAATCAATTAGAATATAATATTTTAGAGACTGATATGGTCTACAGAGAAAAATTTTAAAGGGAATTATATTAGGAGTGGGATGGGGTTACAATATTAAATACTGTGATCAAGAATAGCTTCACTGAGAAGTTGGAACAGAAACTAAGGTGTGAAGGAGGAAGCAAGTCAATATCTAAAGAGTATTCCAGGCAGAGGAATGCTCGTGCAAAAAGCAGGATTACAGCTGATGTGTTAGACAAATATGTAAGAGATTGGCGTGGCTGGAGCAGAGTTAGTGTTGGGGAGAAAAGTATGAAAGGAATCTTTTTTTTCTGAGCAGTATGTCTCCACAGTAGGCCTAATATATTGAGTAAATCATGCTGTAATCAGATGTGAGCCAGGAGAGGTAAATGGGGCAAATAGGTAAAAACTGGGGGGAAAAAACCCAATAAATATCCTACAGCAGTAAACTGGTTACATGTACTATGGAAAGTCTATACAACGAGATTTTTTTGAAATCTCATTACCAAGAATGGGTTAGATGTAAATGTGTTGTCTATTAGAAGATTTCAATGGACAGGGACAGTACTGTGCATATATCATGATCCCTTCTGTGTACATTAATACATGATCCTTATGTCAGAAAAGTGCTTTCTAAAGGATACGTAAGAAAGTTAATAGCAGCAATCTTTAGGACAGAAGATTCAGAGGCAGGGTGGAATATAAGAAAAGCTTTTACTTTTCAATTTATGGTTTTTCTATACCATGGTTTTTGTTTTTTTGACCACCTGTATTGTTACTTTTATTGTAAAAAAAAAAAAAAGAAAGAAAAGAAAAGAAAAAAGAGACATTTTTTGGCATGGTTTCTGTCAAATCTCATCAGCAGTAGATTTAAGAGTTTTGCCTTTTGCCCTTTGAGTGCCAACTCAGCATCCGCAAAATGAATTTTGCAAGTGTTCTGTTTCCTAACTTCCTTTATCAGAGCCTAGTCCAATGACTTTACTAAAGTCAAGACAATTTCACTAAGAAAAATCAGTTCCTCAATTTGAGCTTCTTGGCTACTTAGCAACTACGTGCATCTTAGCACTCTCATTTCCACAACTTCTCCATGCTGACTCCTGTACCAACCAACTATAATCACACATATGAACACATTCACTCCTGCCTCCATACTGCCAATAAGCTGTCTTCTACCACCCAGAAATGCATTTCCCTCTCCTCTCAGAGAAAGCCTCTTCTTTCAAAACTCTCCTCCCATGTGAAAAATTCCTAAATTCATTTCCAACTCATTTTTATCACGGAGCATTCCTAAACATAATTTAATTTGTATTAACCCTATGCAGGTATCAGTTCTGTTTCTGTATTAAGGTACTCTCTTAGAGAGCAGAAGTTAAGGCTTTCTTAATGTATCTTCCCATCTTGACCTAATATGATGCTCCTCACACAACAGGTGATCTCTCCATGGTTAATTCTATTAATTTATATTGCTTAGAAAGTAATTCTATAAAAACATAGGGAATGATAGTGCCTAGAGTGGTCTAATAACCTCAAACTCTTTGTGTAAATTCTGTGGATTTACCTGCTCCTCTTTCATTACACTCTCTTTCTAGGATGATTTTTGCTACTGTAGAAACTGGAAAGCTAAAAATTGTATTTCTCAGTCTCCTCTGTGAAATTATTGAGATATTTTGAAGGTGAAAGTAAGGCAAAGGGTATCCTCTTAACTCATTTTACTGTTTTTGTTTTTTAGCCCCAACAAGCAAAGTCTTGATAGAATATGAGAGGGTTTTCTGTAGCAGATTTCTGTGCCTATTCTTCAGCTTTCTGTGTGGCAAGAGGCAGTTGTGGTAGAGGTGGTGGCAGAATATATGTTCCCAGGCCCCTTTACCAATTTTGAGGCTGCCATGCAGAGGAGCTTCCTGGTGACTGTATTAGAGCATGGCTTCTTGCGTTCTTTTACATTTTTCAGTTTCACAAAAGACTTTCTTTCCATATTTATGAATCTTTTATAAAATATATTAAAAGGCTATATGAATTATTGATATTATATTGAATATTTAATAAATAGCCTTTATTATAAAGAAGAAATAGGTACAGAAACTATATCTGGAATAAAGGGCCTACTTAAATTAGTGTGCACAAAATAGTGGTATGCATTATTTTAAGAGTTTAATAATATATATAAAACAGATACAGATACAACTTTTTGTTCTGATGTTTGCTCCATGAGAAACTCTACCAAAATGACTAGATGATAAATTTTGTTGGTAATTTTTTTATGGTTGAAAGTCTTTTATTGCTGACATTATTATACTTCTCTGCCACAAAATATATTTATAAATTGAAATTAAAATATTTCATTTCCTGTGGCCAAAGGTTCTAAGGATTTTTTTCTATTTTTTAATTGATACGTAATAGATGTATATATTTTGGGTATACATGTGATAATTTGATACATTCATATAATGTATAAAGATCAAATTAGGGTAATTTAGATATCCATCACCATAAATATTTGTCTTTTCTTAATGCTAGGAATATTCAAATTAATTCTCTTCTAGCTATTTTGAAATTACAATAGATTATTGTTGATTATAGTCCCCTGGTGATCTTTTGATCACTACGTCTTATTTCTTCTACCTAACTGTGTGCTTGTACCCATCAATCAACCTCTCTTCATCCTCCGGCTTCTTGTGTTCTAATGGCAGCCAATGTGGATCACTCTCACCGGCCTGCTAGAGCCCAGTGCTGGCTTTCCTATGACTTTATGAGCATCAAATTCCTTATGTGTATTAGTTTCTTATGGCTAAATTACCACAAACTACCACAAACTTGATGGCTTAATACAATAAAAATTTATTCTCTTAAAATTCTGGAGGCCACAAGTCTGAAATGACTGTTATGGGGCTAAAATAAAGGTGTTGGCAGGGCTACACTCCCTCCGGAGGCTCGAAGGGAAGATCAGTTTCCTTGGCTTTTCCACTGCCTAGAGCTTCAGTTCTTGGATCTGTTGGCTCACGTTCCTCCTTATTCAAAGGCAGCAGCTTAGCATCTTTTCTCTCTGATTTTGCTTCCATCACACGGCCTCTTTCTCTGAAGTCTCCTTCTTCCTCCCTCTAATAAGGAAAGTTATAATTGCATTTAGGGTTCATCCAGATAATCCAGAATAACCCCTGCATCTCAGATACTTAATTTAATCACAGCTGCAAAATACGTTTTACCGTAAAAGCTAACATTCACAGATTCTAGGGAGTCACTCCTGATTATCTTTGGCGACTATTATTCAGCCTATCGCATTATGCCTTCCTCTTTCACATGTCACCATAGATTCCAGGCATTAAATGGAAATTGATGGCTTTTCTGAGGGAGATGGGGAAGCTTATTCTGTTTGCCGCAGAAAGGTACACAGAATAAATGTGAAAATATTATATAATAATAATGAAACTTATAGTACTGCCAGGAGGCTCTTTTTCTTGATCACCCTCTCCATATCTGGCCCATCCTCCTTATTTAGCTCTGACTCTTGCTGTTCTCCTAGAGAAACCTCTCACTGGAGCCAATCAAGCCTCGACAAATTAGTAAACACATGGAGTAGATCCAGCCTCCCTACTTTGGCTCATCTTGCTCCTCTTAGTTGAATGGCCTCCTCCTCCTCTTTACAGCTTCAGTCCTCTCCCATTAATGCAGTGACCAAAAAATATTCTTACTGCTTCCTAAAATCTTCCCCCATCACTTCAGCTTAAAGGGATTTTTGAGATCCTGTAGCCAGATGCCTTTACCGCATAAGATATAAGATCTTGGGCAGTTATCTTTAAATATGACTACATCTTTTATCCCCAACAGGAATGTAAGCTCCTGAGGTCAGACACTCTATTTTATATTCACCGGTAGTTAATTATTTGTCATTCCTGAATATACTAAAAGAAAATGTATACTATTAAGCATAAAAGAATATTTTGAACACGTTTATGTTTTCTCTAAATGTCCCATAACATAAAGATTAGTTTTTAAAATCTTACTAACTTGTGGTACTTTCACATTGTACTTATTCCAGTCAACAACTGCAGAGATGTGATAGATGGTATATTTTAAAAATCCCTTTTGTTCCTAAAACCTTAATCCCTTTTTTTTTTTTTTTTTTTTTTTTTTGAGACGGGTCTCACTCTGTCGCCCAGGCTGGAGTGCAGTGGCGCGATCACTGCAACCTCCGCCTCCCGGGTTCACGCCATTCTCCCGCCTCAGCCTCCTGAGTAGCTGGGACTACAGGCGCCCGCCACCACATCTGGCTAATTTTTTGTTGTATTTTTAGTAGAGACGGGTTTTCACCGTGTTAGCCAGGATGGTCTCGATCTCCTGACCTCGTGATCCACCCGCCTTGGCCTCCCAAAGTGCTGGGATTACAGGCGTGAGCCACCGCGCCCAGCCTAATCCATTTTCTAGAAGACCCACATATAATTCTGTTCAAAAGCATATGGAAACCACATTCCCTTAAATGTTAATAGAAATGGCTTAATAAAGCCCAGTGAAAATTTCAGTGTCGATATTTCAATATTTGTTAAATTAATGTGATTGCCAGCATAGCCTATATATATATATATATATATATATTTTTTTTTTTTTTTTTTTTTTTTTTTTTTTGAGACGGAGTCTCGCTCTGTCACCCAGGCTGGAGTGTAGTGGTATGATCTTGGCTCGCCTCCCGGGTTCATGCCATTCTCCTGCCTCAGCCTCCCGAGTAGCTGGGGCTAGAGGCACCCACCACCGTGCATGGCTAATTTTTTGTATTTTTAGTAGAGACAGCGTTTCACCATGTTAGCTGGGATGGTCTCGATCTCCTGACCTCATGATCCACCCACCTCAGCCTCCCAAAGTGCTGGGATTACAGGCGTGAGCCACCGTGCTGGGCTGCAAATTATATTTCTATGGATGATATTCTCTAAGGATTTGTTCCTTGCTGTGCAATAAATGAAAAATATGGTTCTCATGTCATGAATTCCTACACGAGTATAAAAATTTGAAATGGAATTTGGATATTTGGATTAAAAATATTAGATAACAGAAATAATTATGAATTGAGACTAAATAGGACAAATATTAAATAATTGTGCAATCTAAATATTAATGAGTGATTTGTGATTATATAAAGAGTAAATGTTAGTTTGAAACATTTTATTTTAAAAATATAACTAGAATTATATTCACTGTTATTTTAATTTTGGGAAATATATATTTAATAAGAATCCTTTTCTGTTTGTTAGGTAAAACACATGCCAAATATTACAAGTACCTACATGTTCTTAGAATGTAAAGAGGAATATTTTTAAAGGGAGCCTTTGAATTAAGGACAAAACCTGTACAAAAGTGTAGAGAAAATTTGGCACTGATCTTTCTTAAGAACCTGGGAAGTTATTTTGTAAATGGCTAAATCCACGTATAAAATAAGATTTCTATTCCCCCCAAAATATAAATGGTTAAAAGTGGCCCAATTTTATAATATGTTATTAACTTATTCCTGCATACACAACTTTTCATGAAAAGATCCCACACCAAATACTATTATTTCTCTCCATCCATGTGCTTGTTTCTATCCATTCATCTCTCCATGATATTTATGTCTATTATATTAAATGAAATGGAATGCTGAGAATGATTAAGTACTTTCTTAGTAATATGACTACACAAGAATTTCTTACAGGGCTCAAGCTTTGTTTTATTGATGGAACACTTTCTTCAAATGAAATATTGTAGATATCTTCTAACAAGCAAAACAGTAAAAAGTTGAACTGCCCTGGGAATGAGGGAGAGGCAATAGGAGGAACATTCTCTCATTTAACAACTTTTTCTTGGTCCTCCAAAATACATTTGAGGAATTTTTAGGGCTCCATGGAAGAGGAATATATAATATGTTCTGGTAAGATACAGAGTATATTGTGTGCTTCATAAAAACTTTTGTCCCAAAACTGAAAATATAAAGTTCAATCATTTAGTGTTAACGCTAAGCTATTTGATTATTTCATCTGGAATTTTCCGTCTGGAATTCCATATGGTTCTAGAAAGCCAATATTTACAGTATGTACATGTAGTAAACAGGTGTATACATAAAATGCTCCCTTGCTCTCACCTTACTTTTCCAGTTCTCTCTCTCAACCTTCCCAGTACATGCTATGTTCCAACTAAAAATAAATGCTTTCTGCTCCTAAATAATTGTTTTTTCTTTCTATCTCTGTGCTTCTGAATTTGTCATTCTCTGTCAGGGATTCTGCCTTGCTTCCACCATTCACCAACTCAAGATTCTTACCACTTGGATGTAAAGCTTTCTGATAATCACAACTAAATGTGGCTTCCAACCTTGGTCTGTGACACTCTGCTTACGAGTCTCTTAAAAGACTTTCAATTAAAAAGCATTCTCTTTATAGTTCTCTTAAGACACAAATCCTATTTTGCCTTAAGAAATATAGATTTTGTGAATTTGTTAATCCCTCAGCTAAACTGTAAGTATATTCAGGGAGCTATATTAGGGAAAGCTGGCAGCCCCTGAGTGTTGAATATAGTGTGGAATCTGTCAGAACTGTTTATGGAAGGGCCATAGATAGAAATATTACCTATTCTCTATGACTCTGCCCCTCCAAGCATCAAACAATTGGCAGGAACAATGTATGATCACTGTCTAGAACAAATGAGTAAACATTACTAGTTTGAATTAATAAAATTAAAAACCCCATCAGAATTCCTTCAGCACTTAGAGAATTTGTCTGTTAGCAAGAAAGTGTGCACTGGATTCAGATACTTTAGAAAGAAGTCTTGTACTTTTCAATATTTGGCCAGGGTGAGGCTAGACTATGTTAACAGGGGAAAGGTGAAGTGTGTGCTTACTCTGGCGTAGTAGAGGCTCTGAATCCCAAGCACAACCAACTCAGACTACTTATTCCCATGGAAATAAGGTATGACCACAGTTGAACAATGAAATATTCTAGAGAGTTATGAAATTTCCCTTCCTCTGTTCCCCCCTTTTCTTTCTGCTTTCTGTTCTCTGTTCTGTTCTATTCTGTGCCTCAAGAGAGGGGAAAAGAAGCCACAAAAACATGAGTCAGAGTTTCCAGCATCTCTAATGCAGTCACTGCCCGGGCTAAAGCACTTCACTGAGGCAGGTTCCTGTTGCCCGATCAGTCTTATTGCTGGAGTCAGGGAGGGACAGTGCTTGTGTGGCTCTGCTCACATCATCCACTCTTCATCAATGCTATGTATTGCTTAATTTGAAAAGCCTAAACCATGCAAATTATCAAACAACAATGGCTGAGAACTGTATTACTGCATTTCTGTGGTTTCCATTTGCTTATGAAATTATTCATGTTAACATAACATCTTAATTATTTGGTGCTTTAAAAGTCATTCTTGGGAAAAGTATACAATTCTGAGATTTACTTGATAAGTTGAATGTTTCTATTGTTTTGCCCTATTTTAAAATGTGGCTAGAAAATCTCACATGAAATTCAATAATGTTCTCTGATTTTATATACTGAAATGTTTTTCTCTTTGTATTTGAAGTGAGATGAACATACAAATGATGAATTAATATTGGGTAAATTTTAATGTGATGGCAAATTCTATGGTTTTTCGTAACTACTCATTTTTCTGCTCTGTGATCTTCATGAATATGTATGTATATCTGTTTGTGTGTGTGTATATATATATATAAAAGTACTGATTATGCATCAGTCCACATAGGTATCATAACTACTTGATGAGGACCACATGTTTCTATTCACTAGAAATCTGCAACCTTCAGTAGAGAATTCACTAAAATGTTCTGGGCTAACCTTGGTATAGTTAACAGTATTTTTTAAAACTGGATAACTGAGCAAAAACTGTTGCCTAAAAACTATTGCAAAATATATCCTTATACTTTCCTGACTTGATAAACAGAAGCTGCAGATCAAAATGTAACATCTTTGGTGACCATCCTGAGAATGAGTTCTCATTGTGCTGTGATTCTGAAGAGATTATTCTAAAATTCCATGGATATTTTTCGTTTAAAAAATACTTGATATCATCTTTCTCTCTTTTAATGGATTATGTTTGAATGTTTAATTGTTGAGACTTTGTATAATTAAGCTCTAGCTACAGTCAGAGAGTAAAACATCAAGAAGAGTTAGTTACCATGGAGCTGGGTCAGGAGAGTAGATTTAACCTTCATTCAATAGCCACCTCTAGGAACTAAACACTTTCTCAGCCATCCTTTAAGAGATTATCTTAATGAAATTGAGTTTTACCAATTTTATATCTAAATTAATCCAGTCTAAGTTAATATCATGGGCCATAGTGTAGTGCAGAATTTTCCAAAGGGTATTCCTCAGAACAGAAGTTCTTTGAAGTGTTCTATATAATAAAAGTTCAGTTACCCAAGCATTTTGGGAAACATAACACATTTTAGACTCTACTTTGAGATTTAAATTATACATCTTAAAGGCTCTGAATTTTTCAGGTAAGAAATATGTCTAATTTTTACTTAGCATTTCTTAAATTTATTTTACCACAAGATACATTTTTCTCCCTCTGCCCCAACAACACTCATAAACATCTTGTAAAATTGATCTGGATTAGATAAAACAAAAAAAAACCTGAAGTTACTGTGGGCTTTAGTTAACAATAGTGTATTAATATTGGTTCACTAATTGTAGTAAATATACCACACTGATGTAAGATTTTAATAATAAGAGAAACTGAGTATGAGGTATATGGGAACTCTGTACTATGTTCTCAACTTTTTTGTAAATCTAAAACTGTTCTAAAAATAAAGCTTATTATAAAAAAATTTGAAAATGCCGATAGGATATGAAACAACACTAACATAAGAGTTCTTACCTGATTTCTAGTCTTAGCTCTACTGAGTTGCTTCTGGGAGACCTTGCTCAGGTAACTAAAACTAAATTACTGAAACTTTATTTTTCTTCCCAATAACTATAAAATGGTACCAAGACATGAGAGTTTGTTTGCTTCTAATTTTATTTTGTAACTCAGAAATTCAACAACTTCAGTTTAGTAATTCAATTTAGCAGATATTTTTAGGTAGATATACTAGCCAATTTGAGTGCTTTAGAAGAAACAAAGCAAATTAGTCCTATCCAACTAAATACAGAATTAGATTGCAGTCTTATCTATTAAACTTATGAAAAAATCAATAACATGGAAAATTTATAGATAAATTTTACAGAAGCAAAGCAAAGGTAAATTTGACCAAGAGTTTCTCTAAATGACTACATGTTTGTATGGATACTCAAATCTTCATTTTCTGGTAGAAGATAACTAAAGTAATAATCACAGAGAGTAGATTTGTGAACACATTAAAATTCTATACATCAATAAAATACCCACATGTCAAAAGACATTTGTAGTAACCAATAGATGACACAGAGGTGCCTAATACAGCCTTATAGGTGTATTCTAATATCACAGAGCAAAGGATTTTGGTAGAATTCAGGTAAGAGAGCAAATAAAGAGAAAAGAGTCATGTGTCTGGTTAACTCAAGTCTGATGAATACGAAGATCTTTACCAAGAAGCTGTTTAAGGCTGGGTGCGGTGGGGCACTCCTGTAATCCCACCTACTCCAGAGGTAGGAGAATCACATGAACCTGGGAAGCGGAGGTTGCAGTGAGCCAAGATTGCACCACTGCACTCCAGCCTGGGTGACAGAGTGAGACTCCGTCTCAAAAAAAAAAAAAAAAAAAAAGTTGTTTAACAGCCCAGTAATTTTGGGCAGATGATTCATGTGATCTTAAATAAAAGTACTTGTATTACTTTTACAGTTTCAGATCATATCTGTGAACTGTGTTCCAAAATACTAGATTATTAAAAAATTTACTTATGTCATATTTTAAATTACTTTTGTTTTAACCACTTCTAGGTAATCTGTGATTTTCTGTTTATCTATTCCTCACCTCACCCTAATTAGGCCAGTTAATTAAGAGTTGACTGTAGTTGAGTGCAAAGTCATTAGTTTTACCATATTTTCAAAAACTGTTCCCTTATTTGCCATGCATCTACAAATATTGTCAATGTTTTCTATAATAATATTTGTAACCATTTTTTGAGCTAGAAATTACACTCATTTGGATCATTATCTTAGATCTTTCTTCCTCAGTTTATTCCATATAACATTACCTAAATATAAGTAGTCTATGTGGTGCTGCCTCTCTAAGTGAATTTGCTGTTGTATTATTTGTATTTTTTACTACATTATACAGTATTTGAGTTTTGGAAGTTATAGAGGCATGAAATTAAATATATTTTAATTGACTCATTTTTAGAAAGATTTACTATAAGAGTAATCTCTCTCTTTTACAATTTGGAAGAATTGTAAATTGTTGTTACTACTTTCCTTATAATTTATTATTATACCACCACAATTGTCATTAGTATTTCTCATAATAAAAGCATTCATTCACCAACCAACATTTATGTGATCTTATGTGATGGCTCCCACACTACAGGATAACTGTTCTTACAAATGTACAAATGTTTTGGTTTAATCCTATCCCCTATAAGATATATTTGAAACTTTTCTCTGCGCATAAATAAAAATATCTTTCACTTAATTTTACAGCTAGGGCAACAATATACTTTAGATTCTTAATATAGAGTACTTTAGATTCTTACTACCCAAGTTTGACATCTTTTTTTTTTTTTTTTTTTTTGAGACGGAGTCTTGCTCTGTCTCCTAGGCTGGAGTGCAGTGGCACCATCTTGGCTCACTGCAACCTCCGCCTCCCAGGTTCAAACAATTCCCCTGCCTCAGCCTCCCAAGTAGCTGGGACTACAGGCTTGTGCCACCACACCCAGCTGATTTTTGTATTTTCAGCAGAGACGGGGTTTCACCATGTTGGCCAGGCTAATCTCGAACTCCTGACCTCAAGTGATCCACCCGCCTCAGCTTCCCAAAGTGCTGGGATTACAGGCGTAAGCCACTGCGCCCGGCCTGACATCTTTTGTACTATTTATTATTTGTGACTCTGTGCCTCAGTCTCCTCATATATAAAATGGGGATACAAATATTAACTATCCCATTGAATTATTATAAGGATTAAAAAACGTAACAAATGTAAAGCACTTTGAGAAATTGTTACACTGCAAATCCTTAATAGTGTTAGCTATTATTATATTTGTAATTGATGTTATTCCTCCTCATCCCAAGAACCCTAATGAGCTGTTCTCCGTGAATAAAATCTTTGTTTTCTATTAAACATAAAATTGAGGGTTTCCAGGCAAGATGGCCGAATAAGAACAGCTCCTGTCTGCAGCTTCCATTGAGACCAAGCGGAAGCCAGGTGATTTCTGCATTTCCAACTGAGGTACCCGTTTCATCTCATTGGGACTGGTTAGACAGTGGGTGCAGCCCTCAGAGGGAGAGCTGAAGCAGGGTGGGGCATTGTGTCACCTGGGAAGCGCAAGGGATCGGGGAACTCCCTCCGCTAGCCAAGGGAAGCCATGAGGAAGGGTGCACTCCAGCCCAGACACTACACTTTTCCCATGTTCTTCGCAACCTGCAGACCAGGAGATTCCCTCGGGTGCCTACACCACCATGGCCCTGGGTTTGAAGCATAAAACTGGGTGGTCATGTGAGCAGACACCAAGCTATTTTTTTTTTTTTTTGGTACCCCATTGGCTCCTGGAACACCAGAGAGACAGAATCATTCACTTCCCTGGAAAAAGGGCTTAAGCCAGGGAGCCAAGTGGCCTTGCTCAGCGGATCCCACCCGCACGGAACCCAGCAAGCTAGGATCCACTGGCTTGAAATTCTTGCTGCCAGAATAGTCATCTGAAGTCCATCTGGGACGCTCGAGCTTAGTAGGGGGAGGGGCATCTGCCATTACTGAGGCTTGAGTAGGCGGTTTTCCCCTCACAGGGTAAACAAAGCCATGATACCACAAGTCTACAGTAACCAAACGAGCATGGTACTGGTACCAAAATAGATATACAGACCAATGGAACAGAACAGAGGGCTCAGACATAACACCACGTATCTACAACCATCTGATCTTTGACAAACCTGAAAAAACAAGCAATGGGGAAAGGATTCCCTATTTAATAAATGGTGTTGGAAAAACTGGCCAGCCATATTCAGAAAACTGAAACTGGACCCCTTCCTTATATCTTTATACAAAAATTAACTCAAGATGGATTAAAGACTTAAATGTAAAACCTAAAATCATAAAAACCCTAGAAGAAAACCTAGGCAATACCATTCAGGGCATAGGCATGGGCAAAGACTTCATGACTAAAACACCAAAAGCAATTGCAACAAAAGCCAAAATTTACAAATGGGATCTAATTAAACTAAAGAGCTTCTGCACAGCAAAGGAAACTATCATCAGAGTGAACAGGTAAACTACAGAATGGGAGAAAATTTTTGCAGTCTATCCATCTGACAAAGGTCTGATATCCAGAATCTACAAGGAACTCAAACAAATTAACAAGAAAAAAACAACCCCATCAAAAAGTGGGTGAAGGATATGAACAGACACTTCTCAAAAGAAGACATTTATATGGCCAACAAACATAGAAAAAAAGCTCATCATCACTGGCATTAGAGAAATGCAAATCAAAACCACAATGAGATACCATCTCACGCCAGTAAGAATGGTGATCATTAAAAAGTCAGGAAACAACAGATGCTGGAGAGGATGTGGCAAAACAGAAACACTTTTACACTGTTGCTGGGAGTGTAAATTAGTTCAACCATTGTGGAAGACAGTGTGGCGATTCATCAAGGATCCAGAACCAGAAATACCATTTGACCAGCAATCTCATTACTGGGTATATACCCAAAGGATTATAAATCATTCCACTATAAAGACACACGCACACATATGTTTATTGCAGCACTGTTCATAATAGCAAAGAATTGGAACCAACCCAAATGCCCATCAATGATAGACTGGATAAAGAAAATGTGGCACATATACACCATGGAATACTATGCAGTCATAAAAAAGAATGAGTTCATGTCCTTTGCAGGGGACATGGATGAACCTGGAAACCATCATTCTCAGCAAACTACTACAGGAACAGAAAACCAAACACTGCATGTTCTCACTCATAAGTGGAAGTTGAACAATGAGAACATATGGCACAAGGAGCGGAACATCACACAACGGGGCCTGTTGGGGGGTGGGGGGCAAGAGGAGGGATAGCATTAGGAGAAATACCTAATGTAGATGACCGGTTGATGGGTGCAGCAAACCACCATGGCACATGTATACTATGTAACAAACATGCATGTTCTGCATATGTATCCCAGAACTTAAAGTATAATGAAAAAAAAAAAAAGGGACACACACACACACACACACACACACACACAAACAAAAGATAAAATTAGTGTGTCATAATCAGCTATATCCATTTAATAAACTTTGCCCATAAGGTTATTCTATGTTATACTTTTAGTACTATTCTTGCTAAGTTTCAGAAGCTTATGAAATTGAATGCTTGCATCCAATTATATAAAAGGTTAGGTGTTCAGCTAATATCTCCTGCTTAAAATATCTAAAATTGGAGAAAGAGAGAGAGAAAGAGAACATACATACACTTTTTTTTTCTTAATAGCACTGGAGAGCTAGTGAGGTATTTTTACAGACTTGGGAAGCACATCAGGGAGAGACAAAGCCTAGGGCCTGTCTAAAGTGGAGAGTCTAATAGGAGACCATCTATAAAGGTGGGACACTACTGACTCACTTTGTAACCAAAAAGTATGTTTGCAAATCACTTGGATATGTTTGCAGCCCAAATTAATATAATTCATGTAGTTTTAAAACAAAACAACCTCAAATCATTGAAGTGGTCCCATAGTGTACGTACAAAGCAGTAGCAAAGACAAATATTTTTCAGGAAAAACATCTTCATACTAAGCCTCAAAGAATCTCCACAAGTAATTTTCCATGAAATGGCTATCACATAATAAATAATCACTTCACTCATAAAGAGGCAAAGCACATAAGTAAGAATAGTAGAAACAAAAGCAACAAAAGTTGGTGGTGAAGATTTCAAATATTATAACTAACAGAGACAGCAATAAAATAACCATGTTGATGATACTTAAAGAAATAAAAGATAAGCTTAAAATGATAACAGGAAACTATAAAAATGACAAAGCACATTTGAAAACAACACGTAATATCTAAAAATAAAACATGATACTTGAAATTCAAAATGGAATGGTCAAGTTTAATAGAGATTAGTTGCTCATATTTGAGAGATAATTAGAAAACTGAAAGAAAGGCTAGAAGAATTATGGAGAATTCAACATAAAAAGTCAGAGTAACAAACATAAAAGAGAGGTTAAAATACATGGAAAACAGAGTGAGAAGATATAACATAAGTCTAATTGGAGTTACAAAGGAAGGGACAGAGAGAATGAGGCAGAAGGGCTATTTAACAAAAAATGGCTGAGAAATTTTCAGAACTGATGAATTTCACCAAACCTTCACCTCAAAAATCACAAATTGCAAGCAAAATAACTAAAAAGAAACCTACATTTTGTTGTATCATGTCGAAGCTTCAGAACACCAAAGACATAAGAGCAATCTTAAAAATAGCCAGTAAGAAAAGATGGATTACCGCCAAAGGAGTGATTGTGAAACTGTTGGCCAACTTCTCAACTTCCTATGAAATTAAATCTTTGAATGCTGAAAGAAATAACTCAGAATTCTAGCTCCAGTAGAATTTTTTCCAAAAATCAAAAGTAAAATAAAAATATTTTCAGTTCACTAAGATTGGGAAGTTTGCTTCCAGTGGAACTTCATTGAAGGAAACTCTAGAGAATGTACTTCATGCAAATGTAAAATAATCTAGGATAATAAGGCTAAAAAGCAAGGAGAAAAAAAATGAAAGCTATAAATTTTCAGATAAATTAAAATGAGCATTGACTATATAAAATAACAATAAGAATGTCTTATTCTTTAGAAACAGACAGAATTAATTAAACTTTCTCCAAGGACATAAAAATAACATAAAAGTTAGCAGGTTACTTGGAATTAAAGGAAGTTAAGGGAGCTAACATTTAAAGGAATTAATGTCTTCCAAATCAGAAGACTCCTGTTTGTTGTCTGACAAGAGCAAAGGGTACTTGGTTGACTTTATACTTTCATAAGTTAAGAGAACATGTTGTAATTTAAGAGTAGATACTAAAAGAAGAGAAACAATGTATTTCCTCCAAAATAGAAAAGATAAAAACTACTAGATGAGATTAAAAAAAAATCCATTTAATGTACTATGCCAGAGAGATTTCTAAAATGTAAGGACACATAAAGTAGAAAAGTAACAAGGGTGAATAAACAGATATACCAGGGAAACACTAATCAAAAGAATGCTCATGTGGCTATATTAGTATCAGATTAAACAGACTGAGATAAAAACATGAGAAATACTGAGAGTCATTTTATAATAATGAAAGATTCTCTTCTTCAGGAAGATAAAACTCTGTGATCAAATTATACAGCCTTAGATTGACAACTATAAAGAGATAAGGGTGATTTTACCAAATTTCTTTTCATAGGATAAACAGAGGGAAATGGGTAGAAAGCAGAAAATCTTAATAACAAGAGTAATAAATTTGATCAACTGAAAAAAATACATATATATATAAAACTCCACCCAATTGTAGACAGTTTTTTTTTTTCAACACACATAGAACATTTATGGTGCCATAGACGGTTTTCAACAAACTTCAAAGGACTGGATTCATACAGTGTGTAATTTATACTGTCATTTATGTGCTTTACGACTTTGTTGAACTTATTTAACCTCTCTAAGCTTCAATCTCCTAAAGTGCAAAATGGTAATGATAATGATAATATGCTTCTGCTGTGTAAGGCAGAGGCATAAAGAAATGATGCATTAAAAGGTCCTACACAGCAAGAGAAAAAGTTTGTATTTTAAACTGAATACATTTCAAATGGGAATGGCATAAATTTTTAGAAAGACAAAATCTTTTGTTAATGATTCTGTTAATCTGCTGTTTTTGGCAGCAAGGTGGAGACTTGCTTAGAGATGGGAGCAGAGAGCTGCATTAGGAGTAAAAGATAATAAATAAGATGAGAAATAATGAGAACTTGAAGCGTGCATGAAAAGACATATCTTCACATATATTCATGTTCCTATTTAACAATTTCAGTACCAAAGAGAAATAACAAAAACTAGGCCTACTATTATACTTAAGTCACATATATCTAAGTTTACTTTTAAAGCATTATATAATCTTACTCTATAATATTGTTTAAAATTTAATAAATTTCACTATTAGGTATTTCTTCTTCACGACCAAGCTCCAAAACAAAAATACTTGTTATTTCTGTTAACTGATATTAATAGCTATTTAAAATATGTATTGGTGTATTCATTTAATAATCATAGAAAACTCAAGAGAAAATGTTCCTAAGCATTGCGTTTTGAAGAAATTCAGTTTGTAAATGCACATGTGGCAAATACTAAACAAACTTCTCTAACTTCTCTACAATCCTCATATACATAAAATTTGGCTAACATATAAAAGTATGTGTAATTTAAATTTCAATAGGTGAAGTTAAAATTAATCTTCACAATACTTCTGTGTAGCACAAACACTCAATATGAAAGAGGTTCCTCAATAACTTAGTCTTGTTTTAAATATTTTATCATTAAATTTTGATCTGTTACATAATATTTAATGACACTAACACTTTTAGTATAATTCCAAATTGGTAAAGATGTTTTATTTTTTGAAATGTTACCATATTCAGTTTACTTATATTTTGTTAGGAAATTCTGCATTTATATGCATATATGATTGCCCTGTAATTTTCCTTTCTGTTAATAATATTATCTCCCTTTATTATCCAAGATGTTCATTCTTTATTTGCTCAAGGTTTTTGTACAATCTGAATGATCCATTCTTTGCAAGTCTGTTGGCAATTGTCTGTAAGATTGCACCGAATTGTTTCTATTTAATGGGAATATTTTAAACTGCTTCTTCACTTATTTTTTTCTAGTAATTTGTCTATTCTGTTTAGACTCAAATATATTGGTATATAATGGTCATAGTAATCTCTATTTATAATTTTAATCTCTGTTACTTTTTTCTTACTAATATTACTTACTTTTCCCATATTTCAAATTTGTTTCCTTTCAAAATCTCACCAAAACAATGTTTTTAATCTTTCCAGAGGGCCAAATTTTTAATTTATTGCTCTTCTTTAATTGTTTTTTACTTTAATTTCTGCTCTCACTTTCACAACCTCCTTCCATCTAATAAAATATAATTCATGTACCACAAAAAATAAAATAAATAAATTTTTTTATCATTGAGTTAAAGTCCATAAATGGTATTAAGCATGATTTAAATTTAGGGGAAATAACATCTGGCTAGTGTAAATGATACTAATAAGAACAGCTATGGCAGAGAATGCCATGGTGGCATATCCTTGTCAAAGAAATTCTTATTTCTTATAGAATCAATGTATTGTTCATTTGTATGTCCTATGCAAGACTGTCATAATTAAGGTGAAAGCAAATGAGGTTTATTCAAAGTGAAAGACTGTGTTGAAATAAATTAAAGTGTCAGAATAGGATGAATAAAACAGGCCAAAGGGAAAATGTGACTTCAAGAGATTTTACACATTGTCTCTGTTGATCATTTTGGAAGTCTTCCAAACATTACATCAAATAAAGTCAAACTCAAGAGAGATATGTAACTTACATACTTAATACTTTGGCATAAAGCAGTGGTGTTAAATATCTCTGGTTGTGCTATTTGGAAAGGAGAGACGAGGAAGAAAAGGAGATCAAGGTCATGCTTATTTGCTGCTTCCCTCTTATCTCCCACTGGAAAGCATCAAACTCTATTTTCAGTCTATTAACACAGTATCCCTTTCATCTCTCATCTGGATTACAACAGCCTCCTAACTGGTCCTCTAAAGTTCTACTCTTGGCCACTTTTAATCAATCTACCTTAGAGTAGAAAAAGTGATCTTCTCACGATGTAAATCAAATAACACAGTTCCCTCTTTAAAACCCTGCAAAAGCTTCCCAAAGTATACAGAGTAAATTCCAAACTCTCTCATTTTGGCATCCAGGCTCTGCATGATCTGGATCCTGCTTACCTCTCCATGCTAGATAGGCTTGTGCATGTGCATGTTTGTGCGTGTGCGTGTGCGTGCATGTGTGTGTGTGTTACTTCCTGTGTATGCTTCTATCTAAACATGGCCAGTTTCTTCCCACCTTGGAGCCTCTGCATGTTCTTCTTTCTTCATGGAATACCTCACCCCTAAAAAGATGAGTACTTTCTGTTTACATGCAGCTTAAATATTACCTGCCTGGAGTCCTTCCTGACCATCTTACCTAGGGCAGATTCATTCTGCAATTCTCCATCTCAACTCCCTGTTTGTTTCCCTCATAGCACATATCATGGAGTACAATTATTTATTGTATCTGTCAGCTTATTTATAAAGTTTTTCCCCTAACATGTAAGCTCTATGATGACGACGTGGGTGCCTTTTCTCATGGCATCTTATTATATACAACATTTTATGACAGATATGTAAGGTAGATTATTCTATATGCATATCATTTTTCTTTTTTTCTCACTTAGAAACACTTAGGAGGACAGTGTTTCAGAAAACATGTTCCATACTGGTAGTGATGTTCAGTTAAAAAGTGGTCTGGTGGTCAAATAATTTTTGAAAGTGCTGCTCACTATATGTCCCTCTTGAGAGTTCATGATGCACATTAGTATATAAAAAGATTTAAGAAGGAATCCTTTTACTTTTACTCAGTCCATTGTTTCCTATATTTGAAGAGTCTGCAAACTCCTCACTCTTTTCCTTATTTAGCATTTACTAATCTTCTAAGATATAATGCTTAACATAAAAAACTTTGAGATATGATGCTCCAGAACTCCAGGGAAGCATTATTTGTCTACTAATTTTGCTATTAACCTATCTAAATGGATTCAAGGATTTTTATCATATCACCACAGGGTGCTTCCAAGAAACCTCTTGTTCCATAAAATCACACTTTAAAAAGTGAGCACTAGAAAAAAAGCATTATCATAAAAGCTAACTAAATTTACATGAACTAGTAATACATCACTAGTAAATTATGAATACCTAAAATTCAGGCCTCATCCCTGATATTGTATTTTATATGTTTTATTTTTGATACATGATCTTTTAACCATAACTATGTTAGTTTTATTATTATTTGCCTATGAACTAATAAGGCAACCAGAAGTCTTCTCAATTAATTCCTAAAAAGCTATTGAGGTAGACAGAATTTGCTGCTAATGGCAATCTGCAACCATAATTCTCATAAGACACACTAATTCTTTTTAGTAAAATGTTACATAGCTATCCAATGCTCCTAAAACATTTTTGTTTAGCCAGTTCACCGAAGTTTAACTGACAGTCATGAGTAATTGGAGCACATGACTTTTCAGAGCACAATACAGCTAAAGTAATCGGTAAAGCTATTTTTATCATTCTATCTTTGAACTATTTCATAACTTTATATTTTTTGTTCAAAATACCAACATTTTAAATTTCTAGAAATTCAACAACTGAATCTATCATCCTCATTGTCTTTCAATTATATTTCTTTGGCACAAAATACTATTTGGCAAAAAATGACCTGCAAGTTCCTCTTGTGTACTTAGAAACTTTTGTACAAATACATGCCACTGGTTAGAATGCAAGTGTATCTGGTTGCTACCAACAGATAGTATTGAAAATTAGTCATGGTCATTTTCTTTTTGTCATAATTTTGTTCTTTAGTACTCAGAGTATTTAAAGCACTGTTTATACCTATTTATGATTAAAAGAGAGAGAAAAAAAAACAAAAGTCAAACATCCTTGAACATTTTGGAAAAGAGATTTTAAAAGAAACCAGAAGAATTAGTTAGCTATTAATGTCATTGGTATCTACAATTTTTAAAATAAAACCAACTTTTAAAAGAATACTGATACATCAGTTATTTTTATAGTTTTAATTTAAAAGTATCTTTTGCAATCTGCTCTGTTCAAAACCAGAATTGCTTCTGTACTTGTATATTCTTTTTCTTATAGGATCTGACATAAACACACATTCATTCACTCATTTATCAATTCAAAAAATATCTGTTGCACACCTATCACTCAATGTACAAGTATCATGCTAAGTGCCATGAAATACAGAAAATGCAGGAGTGCTATCTCTGCCTGAAATTTACAAACTGATAATGGAGGGAAGACACATACATAAATATAGGGCAAAATGGGTTCGATATTAGAGGATGTGCTTAGCAGCCTACAAGCTCAAAGAGGAAAGAGAGATTGTTCTCATGATTTCCAAGAAAGTCTGATTAGAAGAGGTAACTTTTGATGGGTTAAATTATAAAAGATGTGAAGGAATAAGAATTTTCAAACAGGGAGCAGTTTAAACAAAAAAAGAAAAAAGAAAGAAAAAGAAAAGAGGAAAAAAGAAACATGAAGAAATGTGAAGGGATGAATGGATGAGATGACAGATATATGTGAGTAACTTCTATACGTCCAACTTGAGAAAAGCACTGATAGGTTAAGCATAGTGTAGTATTATACTAGGAGTTAGTTGCTGACTTTTGGTCATAGAAAAGAATATCATTTCCTTTGGAAGGGAAGAAAGACATTATGGTGATACATAAGAGAAATATGACTGGCAGTAAATAAGAAAGAGTAAAGAATGTCTACTACAGGGTTCACAGCTAGAGACACAGTCTCTGGTGTGGTGGCCTGGGAATAAAACCATGGGAAGGTAGGCTTAGTCAGCTGACAAATCCCGAGTTCCACATCCTTATTTACATGTAAAATTATAATTGTTAAATAAAATTACATTAAGTAAAAAAAAGGTCTATAATAAATCTGTTATTTCTATTGTTTATGACAATTGTGACTAATTATACCTAGATTACCATATACAGAGATTTAAGAGTATTTTATCCTGTCATCACATCTATAAGATTAAGACTTAACTTCTTCTTTTCATAAAAACTAAGAGAAATCCAAAATATAGTTTTGTCATCCAATCTAGAAAATAAATAAGAAAAATGCATATCTGATTAAATTATGAATTTATAAAAAATCATTTAGTTAATATGCTATTGCTCAAACAACTAAGTTAAAAAAGAAAAAGAAAAAGAAAAAGAGTTTCTTGTGTATTCAGTCTACTGGGATATTAACTAGCCTGTAACAGTGAGAATAAAGAAAAATTACTGCTTTGTTTAACTTGCAGAACTATTCATTAATTTTATTTACAAAAGTTAAATAATTTCATTAATTTGGGGAATATAGTACTACTCAAAATGTTTTATTTATGAAATAGAATATTGCTATTTCATTACCATAAAACAAACAGTGGGTAAGTCAAATGTATATTTAAAGATTTGTTTTAAATTAGATTTTGAGCTTAAGTTTGTGGGTAAGGAATAACATGAAACACTGAATTCTTCAGCAGAAAAACATTTAGTCAATCCCAATTATACTGACGGATACTTAGCAGAAACTATAATAATTATAATCAGAAACTGCTCAGGCCATTGTTTTCCAAAATTCCATGAAACACTGCAGTAAAAGGGGTTCTCAATTCAAACACATTTGGAAAATGTTGGTTCAATAATGCCAACATGACAATGTGCACCGTGAATCTTAGGCAAGGGCTATAGCCTGTGAAGTTTCCCAAAAGCATATGACAAGGGAACCTGTTATTTGCCAGGCAATTTTCACTATATCAAGGAACAAACTCTATGAGATGCTGCTCTATAAGAAATAATAAAGTTTACATTTTTTTCTCTACAAAGCTTGCTGGTTTTACTTCACCTTTCTTGATATCTCATTTATAAGATGTCCTCAAGTCCTACACTTTCTACTACACCATAAAATACACACACACACACACACACACACACACACACACAGAAATACACATATAACATATATAGTATTTATATAAATATAAACATATATATAACTCATCTATCTGTCCATCCATCCATCCATCTGAACTATATCTGAAGTCAACATTTACCCTGCCTGAGCAGTGCCTCAGAATCCAGTTGTCTTCTCTTATCATCATGTCCAAATCAAAAGTTGTAACATATAGTGCCTCCAAATGAGCTGTTACAGAGGAAAGCACCTAATAAATTAAGATGACTTGGCTGATAAAGTCGGTAAGTAGTCAGGTACATATGAATTTGAAAAAAACAGGCCCAGCTGTCTTAACCTAAAGAAGTAGAGCACACATAGCACTGTGGCACAAAAGCAGATGAAGTGTGAGGGAATATATTCTATTCTGCTGCTCCACCAGCTATTCTATGTAAGCATCTATTTACCTGGCTTACATGTAAGTCCACTAATAGATTTTGATCTAAGAAAAGCATTGCTACTATTTTTTTCATTGTTCTTTCTTATCCTTTCCAACTCAAAATAAAGAAAAAATATACAAAGGAAACAGGCAAATTTTATAGAAAAATGACCAATTTTTTAAAGATAATAATCTCAGTGTGGATTGTGACATAGAATTATACAATTTATGAGCTGAAAGTGCTCTTACTAATTACCTAGTGTAGTATTCCCATTTATGGTTGATACTTTAAAAGGGGGATGAGGTGGTAAAGGAGCTCAAAGTCACACAAACTTGTGGCAAATCAAGGCTTAGAATATGTCTTTAAACTCTCATCCTTTAAGTTTTCCAGTTCACTGGGGTGCCTCCGATGATTTTTGTTTGTTTCTTTTGTCTTGCTTTTGAGAACTGTCATACATTTCAGAAAAAAAAGATACACAAATATTTACATATGTAAATGTTTAGAGAGATTACAAGATACCAGCAAAGTTCACTTTATTTTCTACCAGAATGTATTCACATTCATCTGTTGATTTTAAAGTTTTGAAAACACATGAATAATCTATGTAAGCTGAATAAAAATATAAAACCCAACAAAACAACAAAGTAATGATTTTGTGGGTATACTACATTTCCCCTGCAATAAAGGCACATTATAATGCCTAAGGAAGAGTAAGTCTTTACCTGCCAATATTCATAAAGGGTGGTAATTTTGTAGCACAGCACTTTACAGATCTCTGCATAGTGGGCATTGACAAAAGGATAAAAATTCAATTTATTTAATTAGGGAAAAAATTGTGGAGAACTTGAACTCCTTCATACTAATTTAGAAAATCCCTAAACTCTCCAAATTGCTGCATGAACTCTTAAACAAGAAGTCAGAATGAAAATTTTCCCTTTAAGTGAGTAACAGATAAAGTGAAACAGATTCTTTTAAATTATTTTTCAGACAAGCAACACCAGGTTGGGCCTTACTAGTATGTTTTACAGTGTCCAACTACTAAAGATTGATTTTTAGCAGATAATCTTTACAAATCACATAGTGCAGAATATGATCAGAATACTTAAGATATATAATAGTAATAATGTTATAAATATTTATAAAATGAATAAAATATAGATATTTAAGTTTCTATTTTCTTAAATAGAATTAATAAAAGGGCATCCACTTTATATATAATTCTATACAATGTATATATAAGTCAAAATAAGAATATTGTGGTTTTCCATTTATTTATGGATTAAATAAATTTATTATATGAAGGAGATATTCAATACGTAAAGATAATCTTTTCTCCTACCCTAACAAGAAAAAGCTGAACAAACTGAAAGTCAATTACTTTTTTTATACCAATTAGATAACTGAGGTTGCAGGGCAAACAACCATCCAAAAATCTGGAGAAAGACAAATCGAGAGAGTCACAACTGAGATGTGGTTACCTGGGGTAGAGGCCACTGGAGCCAAAAATTGATAGGAACACTCAAAGGGGAATTTTAATGAACTGCTGGAGACTTAATGTAGACTAGCATGAGAGTGAGAAACTCCTGGAGGCCACAGTCTTAGGGAGTCTCCATCCTTTCCTACAGTTTATGTCCAGGAACACCACCAGATTTTCATGGTAAAGATCCAAGAAAGAGCTTCTCCTGATTCTGCCAGGGGGAGAGTCATCATTGTGAAATATGCCCAGGTCTTTCTCCATAACAAAGGCCTATTCTCTAGGAAAGAAGTGAACCCTATCCCACGTGGGATATGTATATTGCTCATGTTTCAACCTCCTCTACCAACTTGTTTCACCTAAGAAGGGAAAAAAAGGTACAACACCAGAGAAATACTTGTAGAGGTCACAGTCCCCAAGGTACAGGTCAGCTAAAAGACTAAGATTCAATCACAAAAATCAAGAATGCTTTTCTCCCACATCATACCACCACACCAACAGGACTCCAGTATTATAACAGTGGACTGCAGTTGAAAGAGCTGAAGATGCAGACTATCTCTGAGAAGAATTTAGGAAAGCCAAAATTTCACAGCAGAGACAAAAGCAAGGACAACAGGAGGGAGTTTGAAGCTTCTGACACCTACAGCTACAACAAACATTAAATATAGCACAATTCTTACCCAAATGAACATCTTCACACTAAAAGTCTATTCTCTTCAGTTCCTATCACCTGATACATGTCCAGCTTTCAACAGAAAATTACAAGGTATTCCAGAAAGCAAGGAATAAAACATAGTTTAATAGTAGAAACAAGCATCAAAACCATACTCAAATATGACACAGATGTTCAAGTCATCAGACACGGTAAAGTAATTATGATTAATATATTAAAGATACTAATGGAAAAAGTAGACTATATGCAAGAACAGATGGGTAATGTAAGTAGACACAGGGAAACTCCAGGAAAGAATCAAAATGAAATGCTAGAAATCAAAAGCACTGTAACAGAAATGTAGAATACCTTTGATGGGCTCATCAGTAGAATAAATACAGTTAATGAAATAATCAGTAAGCTTAAAAACAGGTCAACAAAAAATGATATAAACTGAAAGAGATAAAAGAATGAAAAAATAGAACAGAATATCCAAGAACTGTTAGACAATTTCAAAAGGTATATATATAATTAGAATACCAGAAGAAGAAAAAGAAAACAGAGTAGAAAAAATATTTGAAGTAATAATTATCAAGAATTTTCTAAAAATAATGCCAGTCACAAAATTCAGATATCCAGGAAGCCTAGAGAACACCATAGCGGAAACTCAACCAACATATCCCTAGGCATGTCATATTAAAAACTACAGAAAACCCAAGTCAAATAGAAAATGTTGAAAGAAGCCAGAGGGTAAAAAATATCTTACATACACAGAAACAAGGTATGATTTACAGTGGACATCAGAAGCCATGTAAACAAAAAGAGAGTGGAGAGAAATACTTAAACTGTTGAAAGAAAGAAACCCACCAGCCTAGAATTCTATATTCAGTGAAATTATCCTTCAATAGTGAAGGAGAAATAAAGACTTTTTCAGTCAAATAAGACATAATAGACAAGAACATATAATAATCCTAAGCCTGTATGCAACTAACAAGCATGTCAAAATACACAAGGCAAAACTGATAGAAGTGAAAGGTGAATAAGACAAATGCATTATTGGAGTTGGAGGCTTCAATAGCCTGCTTTCAGTAACTGATATGGTCACGTAGGCAAAAAATCAGAAAGGATATAGTTGTCCTGAAGAGCAGTATCAATAAACTTGATTAATTGACATTTATAGAATCTTCCATCCAACACCTGCATGATATACATTCTTCTCAAGCTCACATGGAACATTCAGAGACAGACCACATTCTGTGCCATAAAAAACACCTTAGCAAATTAAGAATAGAAATCATAAAAAGTGTGTTCTTAAGCCACAATGAAAATGAAACTAGAAATCAGTACTAGAAAGACAGCAGAAAAATCCCAAAATATTTGGAGATTAATATACTTCTGAACATATGGGTCAAGAAGACACTCAACACTTTGAAGTACATGAAAATTAAAATACAAGTCAGCTAACTGTGTGTGTGGGATGCAACGAAAGCAGTGCTTAGAGAGGAAATTTATAGCCTTAAATGCATATATTTGAAAAGAAGGTCTAAGGTCTATAATAACCTATGCTTTCAACTTAGTAAACTAGAGAAAGAAGAGCAGTTTAAGCCTACAGCAAGCAGAAGAAAATAAATAATAAATATTAGGGCAGAAATCAATAAAATTGAAAACAATTGAGAAAATCAACAAACCAAAAAACTGTTTTTTGAAAAGATGAATATATGACATGCATTTATTCATTCATTTAAAATATGTTCCAGTAAAAAAAATTACACATTTTCGGGAGGAACTTAACACTATACAGATGGTCAAAACATTGAGAGCAAGTCCAGTCTTTTGAATATTATATGGATGGAAATGTATCATGAAGATTTTACGATTAGATTTCTATATACCTCTCTCCATCTCCATTCTGGATCATTTATAATGTAAGCAAATAAAACTATTGTAAATTATAAAATAGTAAGTTTTCTGGTTGGCATAGTCAAATATCAACATTAATAAAATTAACTTGCTTTATTTTTCTCCTTCACATTAACATTTGTGAAATAAGGCATAGAAAGCTGTGCTATTCTCTCTCTGTTACACTAGGATATTGGGTTTTAGATTGTTTGTAAACCAAGATGGCTAAGCTTCGGCCAATGATTTTGTACAAAAGATGTTTCTCTTCTTTTCTCATATTGTCCCTGAAATGTTATGAATGGGCAGAATGCCAAGCCTACTAATGGATCTTTTCAAAATTCATGCCCTTCTTTTTCAATTTCCTCAAAATATGTTGATGTGAAAAGGCAGGGTAAGAGGGCAGGAGAATGGGCTGGAGAAGAGTCATTCAAAAACTCTGTGTCATTATACTGAGGCAGTATGCCTAACAAATCCTAGATACACAACATACACGAATCTTAATCCTTCACAGGCCAGACTAGAAAACTGATGGTCAATGAATTTATTATTGGTGGCAGTCTCCTACTACTGATTACATTATTTGTCCAAAAGGTCACCAGATACCGTCAACTCTACCTCGTTCACATTGTTTAGATTTGTCCCATAATTTTCATCTAGTCCTCAACTACTTTACATGCACATCGTCAGTTATTGCATTATTGCAATAACCCCCCATTGTCCACCTCTCTCAACATTCCTTCTCAATCTTCTCAGGTACTTTGTGTTCCTAGCTTGTGATGGTTAGTTTTATGTGTCATCTGATTAGGTAAGAGTACCTAGTTATTCAATAAAACATTATTCTAGGTGTTGCTATGAAGCTATTTTGTTGATGTCGTTAATATATTCAATCAGTTGACTTTCAGTAAGGGATATTACCTTAGAAAATATGGGTGGGCTTCATCCAATCAGTGGAAAGGCCTTAAGGGCAAAAACTGAGGTTTCCAAGAGAAGAAATTCTGCCTCAAGACTGCAGCATTAACTCCTATTTGAGTTTCCAGCCAGCCTGCTTGCCATACATATTTCAGACTTGCCAGCCCCCATAATCACATGGGGCTAAATAAATGTTAGCTGCTCTTATTATTGCCATCACTGTTATGGCTATCATGAATGTAGAGGATTTCCTGGATTATAAAGTGTACATTTTGGAAAATTGTATCAGAGAGCCACTAAGCAAGGGCAAAAACTACTTGTTGGATGCTTTGGGCCTAGAATAAAGGTGACAAGCTGTCAGACAGAAAAGTAAATGTGTGAGCCAGAAAAGTTAGAGAAGAGCTTCTTTTAGACACTTCAGACACGAAGTTGATTAATTGAGAAAGGAAAGTGAAATTCACGCAGACAGACCAATTCAGTCCATTGGTCTCAAGAGTCACATTTAGATTTCAGTCAGAGATGTGTTGTGCCAAATTATTCCATCTTTAGAACCTCACCCAGCTATGTCTATTATCTTACTAACCAGGAATTAAGGGCTGGATCAGCTAGCTTTTCTAAAGGAACACATGCCAAGCACAGGGGATATCTTAGACTAATCCCACTCTGATTCAAATAAACTTTGAAAAAAGGAATAACAAGCTCCTGTGAAAAGTCATGGTTTCAGCTTTTGAAAATCAGTTGCTACATTCCAGGAGGGTGAAGTGACAGTGGAGGGAATCATGAACCATGCCTCCGCCCCGCTGAACAAAGCCCAAAGGAGTTACCAATGGGATCAGAACATATACGACTCAGAATTACACGTGGTTTTCAACTGAATTTATTACTTTTAATTTACCAGTGCTATTGTCAATGAAACAAACAACCCCCCCTTGACCGATATTAATTAGTTGCACAATATGGCACCATGGCCAGTTTATCTTTGTGGAATATTTCCCAAAACTATGAACAAATTAGAATGATTCTGAAAAGACACTCTTTTGATTCCTTTATTTCTGTCAACCAGTAGGTTACAACAAGACATAAAATAATTACATAGGGATTCCAAAGACAGTGTAATGACCTGTTTTTATTCATGAAACAGCAGCGACTCTTCCATGTACCTCTCTATCCATTCCCACTCCTTCCTGGTATAGCTCAGTAACTCTCATAGTCTACCTGTATATTCCTTAAAGTTAAATGAAAAATTTTTAACTTCACAAGCCATACAGAAATATATTTAGATTGTATTTCAGATAAGGCTAGAACCCCCTTTGAAACACCCCTCAGTGTCAATTCCAGCCCCACATACCCCAGAGATAACCAATCTTAACAGTTTATATGTAAACTTCTACACATTTATTTAGGTAACAATGGAAAATATTTGGTATTTTTTGTTTATATTATTTGCTTTAGAACATATGTACAATTCTGCAACTTGCTTTTTATTAAGCTGTAAACAATTCTAGGGTATATGTCTTCATTTATAGAGGTTAAAAGATAAGCAGAAATAATCCTGGGCAAGCACCAGGTTCTAGGCCTGCCCTATCAAATAACAGCCATGAAATTTTGAGTCTGTCACTAATCTCACTATCCTAATTTTTAAATAATCTTCCTCATTTCTGTCTTTCCCAGGGTGTATGTCAAAACTAAATGAAATAATCTGTGTGTGCTTTGAAAACTACTGTTTAATATATACATAAAATATTATTCTTAAATATTATCTAGAAAATAATCAGGTAGTGCTATTCTAATAGTATATAAGTATTTAACTTAAAACTTTAAGAGGTGTCACAATAATATTTCTATATTGAAATTTTTAGCTAATAGCATAGTTACTCCTAAATGTGAATGCTTCCTTGGAAACACTGACATATTATGTCAACAAAGGTTTAATCATGAGAAAATATATTTACATGAAATTCAAGTTATTAAATTGATTGTTTACAAATCAAATTCCATTTTACATCTATGAGCTTCTATGCTCAATCCTAGAGTAAATGAACAACAGCCCAAGTGCATTAAAACAATGAGAATGACTAAATCAGAAGAGGTCATAAAACTATGACATTTAAAAATATTTAAAAATTCACCCCAAATTTCCTACATGTGATGTTCAAAGGAATTATTTTGGTACAAACAACTTTATAAATGATTTCAGTTTTAATTACAATTCTTTTAAGCAAAATGTTCTCTATGAGATACACATCTGAAAGATTAACATTTTAAGCAAATTAAAACATTAGGATTCTTAGAGAAAATGGTTAAAAAAATTCTTAGTCACTGAGTTAAGGTACAATATTGTGTGGTTGGTTATAGATCTAATATGTTATTGGGTATATGGACTTCCCTTTTTACCAGAAGAATTAAACATCAAATGAAAAGAGTGCTCTACAAAATCCCTCTTTTCTAAGTTTTTTCATGAATAGGATCATCAATAACAAACTATATCAATTTCACCTTAAAAACCTCTATGTATTTTATGTATTTGATTACCTTTCATCATGAATTATTCGTTTTTTTTTTTTTTTTTTTTTTTTTTGCTCTGGGTTGGTAGAAGGTTTTTGGGAAGTGACTTAAGTTTATGAATCTTCTCATTTTCCTTTATTTGAAACACATTACCTCATACTATTTCTTCAGACTCTCCAAGCTTGACTGGATACCCAGTTTTCACTTCTCAACATTAAAATGCGAAAGAAACCATGGGAAAGTCCTGACACACATACATATGTAGAAAATATTACACAGATCCATTACTTTGGGGGTTAGATCAATGTGATCATAGTAAGATAACTCCGAGATGAGTTAAGACCCTAAAATACAAGACAGAGTGCTTCACAAGTACATTCATGTCTGAGAAGGAAGGTGGGGCACATGGAACATGTTCTAATGTCTTCCTTGTAGATGCCAAGAGAGAATGAAAACAGTAAGAATATTTGGAGTCAATTTAGTTCAATTCCAAATTATAAATTTGACTAAACATGCACATTTAATGAATTAGTGGAATAAAGTCAATTATAAAATTCCAATTGTGTATATCAGAACAATTAGTTATATGAGAGCTTTTGGACCTGTTTTAATGTTCTAGGTTTGTGACAAAGTTTTTTAAACAGAGAAATTTGATCACTGGCACCTCAAAAATAATAGTTTTCACTCAAAGGAAAAAGTAGTAACACAATGATGAATGCTCCAACTAGGTAGACATAAATGGAAGAAATGAGAATTATGAATATACATTTTATAAATTAGGTGGATAGCAGAAAAGGCAATGGAATCAGAAGACCATGAGGTCCCAGCTCTAGCTTCGACAAAGTGAAACATTTTGGACATAGTTTCTTCAAATGTAAAATGAGGGTGTTGAACTGTATCTTCAACGTTCTTTATAACCTATACTTAGTAGGAAACATTTCATAGCTACAGCAGGTTTACAAACCTATTATTTGAATGCCAAAAATGGTAAGCTGAAGAATTTTCAGTGGCTTGTGGACTATTTGTTGTCAATTCCTTTTTTGTTTTTTTGCAAAAACCTTTTTTTTTTTTTTTTGGTCTGGCTATAGTAAGTACCATGTTCGCTGTAGACAATATGGAAAACACAGAAAAATCCAAGCAAAAACAAACAAACAAAAAAGTCACTACCCAAAGATAACTGAGCTGTTAACATACATGTTTCCAAATATATATTGTCGTATAAGTTACTAGAATTTACAGAGTCCAGTGGTTTTCAAATTTTTATTTTATTTTATTTTATTTTTTGAGATGGAGTCTTGCTCTGTCGCCCAGGCTGGAGTGCAGTGGCGCAATCTCGGCTCACTGCAAGCTCCACCTTCCGGGTTCGTGCCATTCTCCTGTCTCAGCCTCCCGAGTAGTTGGGACTACAGGCGCCTGCCACCATGCCTGGCTAATTTTTTGTATTTTTAGTAGAGATGGGGTTTCACCGTGTTAGCCAGGATGGTCTCGATCTCTGACCTCGTGATCCACCTGCCTTGGCCTCCCAAAGTGCTGGGATTACAGGTGTGAGCCACCATGCCTGGCTCAAATTTTTATTTTTATGATCGGATTTTTTTTTTTCTAAACAAAGTCTCACATGGAACCTTAATATGTACAACACATAAAACTGAAACTACTCTGATTGAAGTGGTGATGAAGAGCCTGTGGCTTTTCTGACATGGTTATCAACACACTCCTATGGAATCCTATACTTTAAGAAGTACTGTCTAAAAACTAATGACTTAACCAATTTTCTAATGTTGGACATTTACATTGCTTCTTTTTTTTTGCTATTATAAATATCATTCAGTTATTTGCGTACATTCCTGGTTATTTTCCTTGGATAAATTCCTGCAGATGAAACTTCTAGGCCAAACGGTTTTAAGGCACTCATTGTCATGCCAAGCAACTTCGACATTGTCTCTCCCCAAACCATTTGCCATAGGAGTCATCCATTTTCTATTTTGCTATTTAATGGTAACTAACCCCAATTGTAGCATTTGAATCAGAATCTATTTCTGACATATTTCTTCATCTTTTCTTTCTCTTATTTATGATGCCAAATAGGCTAGTATTAAGGCTAAATAAATGCCCTCCTTGAAGCACCAATATTTCCTTCCTGTTAAATGCCACTGGGTGACTAATGGATGAGCTTTTTGTTGTCTTTGGACAATGATCTGTCCAGGCAGTCAGCTTCTATAGAAGGTAGCTAATCAAAAGCAGACAGTCCCCTTTTTGGGGGGAATACCTTTGTTACTTGGCACTTTTAGTGAGACAAAGAAATGAAAAGGGCAGGAGAGAATTCCAGGCAAAGGTAGTCAGACAACATTGGAGGAATTTGGCATAGTTCAGTGCTATAAATGATGAACATAAAAAAGTGGTTAGAGATGAGGCCAGAGGTGAATGCAAATTGCCCACAAGTTACATAAGGGGGTAAAACTTTGTGGGTGGAAACTGTAGTAAATTTAAGAGTGAATGTCCATTCTAAAGAGAACAGTCAGTATAACCAATTGCCACCATGTGAGGGAATATCTTCCAGTTTCCAAAGCCATAAAAGGTTTCAATTTTTAAATTAATGATGGTACAAAATTAAAAAAAAAAAACAAAACAAAAAACAGTGCAAACTCGACCGAACACATATGTGAGCTGCATTTTGCTAACAGCCTGTCTCACTTTACAATCTTAGGACTAGGGAGTTAGGGAAAGTGCAGCTCATGAAAGCCTGTGTATACTAAATTCAGGGGTTTGAACTTTATCTTGAGAACTGTAGGGACTCATTAAAAAGACTTGACACTGATTAACATCTTAGAAGGATCACTCTGGCAGCTGTATTGGAGTCAAGTCTGAAAGGGAGCTATGTAAGAAGGGCTTAAATCAAAGCAGTGAAGGAGGCATGGAAAGAAGGAGACAGATTTGAAAGAGGTTAAAAAGTCATATGGTTTAGTAAATTACACAGTTGAAACCTGAACCCAGGTCTCCTACCTTATATTGCTTGATATTCTTATAGCTAACTATACCAGTATTGCAAGATGTCTTTTGAGTGGAATGCTATTTATTATGCAAGTCTTAAGATACAGGGGATGTTCTTCACAAACATTAGCTTGAAATACCAGGATTTTTTCCTATAGCTATCATGTAGCGTAGGTAAACCTTGCACTAAAAGAAACTCCAGGAAAGAGGATATGTAGAGAAATCCTGATGAGATACACAGTGGGCAAATACAGTGACCATGAATAAAGCCCCTCATACTTCATTTGGCTTTCTATGCCAGTTTACAACTAAACAACAGATAAACAGATTGATATGGTTTGAATGATGGTGACCTTCTAAAATTCATGTTGAAGCTTAATCCCCAATGAGGTGATATTAAGAGGTGGGGCCTTTTGGGGAAGTAATTAAGTGATGAGGGCTCTGCCCTTATGAATGGATTCATGTCTTATAAAAGGGCTGGAGAGGAGTCTATCATGGTAGCTTGGACTGGTCAGGCAGCCTTGAGAAGGGTGGTCTTGGGATGCCATCTGAAGTCGGCTACAGTGGTCGGAGTGTGGGCTCCAGTGCAGGGGCCTGTGCAGAATGTCAGATATTTAGCTTCCTGTGGTATACTGATGAGCAGAACTCTTCTACTACATACCTCAATTTTGCCTAAGGAGATATGTGCAAGAACTTTCTTCAAAATTGCGGCACCATTAATAAACAAAAGGAAAGAATATTCAGAGAGAAGAATTTTAAGACATTCAAGAAACATGAAGGAAATGCATGATCTAGTATCAGGAATAGAGGATTACAAGCATTTCATTCCTTGGTGTAAAACATCAAATGTAGTATCAAAGACATCCGGATATTGTAAAACACAATTAGAAATTGGGTTTCCACCTGTGTTGGGGCAATATACATCAGTAGTAACCTTGGTGAAACCTCATTTTGGAAAGGCATCCTGTATTGATGGGAAACTTCTCGATCATTTGGAGACTGGTGTTTTAGCCCAGGTCTTCCAGGCTACTGAAAAATGTGTACCTCTGATTTTTCAATTTCTTTTGAATTGCAATCTCTTCTACACTCTCAGCTTGCCACATTGTTTTTTGATGAAGTTGTAAAGCAGATGGTAGCTGCCTTGAAAGAAGAGGATGTAAGTTGTATAGTCCAGAAATAAATATACCTCAGGAGTTAATGCTTCATGAAGTTCATCACGCATAAAGGGAAAAAACAACTGGTGTCACCTACTTGTAACTTTAGTTTGTTCACTTTAGGAAGGATTTTTATGATGTTTTCAGAAGTCAGAAAGCATCTGTTAAACCCAGCTTTGGTTATAAACTTGCACCATTGAAAACTTTCACATAGAATATAGATTCACTTGTACAGACATTATCATTTTCTGCATTTACAATAATGGGATGCCATCACTATTGCTAGAATACTGACATCATTCTTCTAAGCAGAAATTGAAACTGTAAATTTAAATCTTTTAATTATCAACTACCTGAAAGAGGTTAAGATATTCACACAGTATATATTACAGCAACCATATCACATTTAAGTTATTAAATTCAGACTATTTGTAACTTATTGTGATAGGGCCTGCCAAATGGCTTAGGGTATTTGAGTAATCATCACATATTTAAAGTAAAAACTTTGACTTAAAAACACTGTTAATGAAGGTTCTCTGGCACTTTTGGTATTTTAAAAATTGTTTTGTGAGTAGTAGATAATTCAGTGCCATAGTGCGGTTAGCTCCCAGATAAACAATGAATTTTTTTATTTTTATTTTTATTATTTTTGGTGATGGATCCAGAGCTAAGCTACATTTCTAGTAGTTTGCCACTTTCTCCTATGTATTCTGGCTGCTCTGTCAATATGCTAATTGTGTGTCAAATTTTGTCTACAACAGCAGGCAACAGATGAAGATAAGTTGATTGATATGTATCCAGCACTATGCATCCCTATTTTTCAATTTATTGTGTGTATTCACTTTCAATAATGTGTTTCAAACTGATATAGATATAAATATATATTATATATATTTTATAATATATTATATTTTATTATATATATTATAAAAATATATAATATATTATAAAATATATATATCTTTTTTTTTTTTTTTTTGGTAGAGATGGAGTCTTGCTCTGCCGCCCAGGCTGGAGTGGAGTGGTGGAGTGGAGTGGCACGATCTCGGCTCACTGCAACCTCCGCCTCCTCGGTTCAAGCAATTCTCCTGCCTCAGCCCCCTACGTACCTGGGATTATAGGCACACGTCGCCACGCTCAGCTAATTTCTTTTGTATTTTAGTAGAGACAGGGTTTCGCCATGTTGCCCAGGCTGGTCTCAAACTCCTGAGCTCAGGTAATCCACCCACCTCGGCCTCCCAAAGTGCTAGGATTACAGGTATGAGCCACTGCGCCTGGCCTCAAACTGATTATTTTTAAAAAACAACATAAGGACTGAAGTAGTAACTTAATAATGTTAACTTATTTATTTTTTGTACAGTTAAAAAAGGGGCTAGAGAAAACTAGTTTAGGCGCTTTTTTGCGCTGCTGCCTTCCATCATGGGAAGACATAGCATTTGTCTTTTTTAACCTTGTGAAGATGCAGCATGAAAGCCCTCATCAGACACAATGCCAGAACCTTGATCTTGGACTTCTCAGCCTTCAAAACTGTGAGAAGTAAATTTCTATTATCTATAAATGACCCAGACTGTGGTGTTTTATTATTGCAGTAAAAATGGACTAAGACAGAGACCACTAAATATTTAGTAAAGAAAAGTCTTTCTTACTATACTTCTACCTCAAAAATTCTATGACCAAAATTAATTTATGTTTCCAGATCATCTGCATTGTGGTTAATCTCTGCATATTTAGTGGGAGTGAAGACTACCGCTTCAATCTGGTTAGTACATTTTTTTAGTTCAATAATTAACAGAGCCAGACAACAAGTCAAATGGAAAGTGAAGTCATTAGGTGGGGTGAAGTGATGTGAAATCTGAGTGTTTTCTCTCCTAACCTCCTGGATGGGAGCTTGACTCCATTTGTCTGACTGGCAAATTGATGAGCTAATAAAAGAGCGTTTGTTGAATAGCTCTGTAAATAACAAAACCTACTCCTACTACCTGCTTGAAAATGATGTATTTTTCTTTATTAAACAAAATATTAAATGCTTTTATTAAACAAGATATTGTTTTCTTTATTAAACAAGATATTAAATGAAAATGCTGTATTTTTCTTAAACAAGATATTAAATTATTTTTGCAAAATCATCAAAGAATGTATAGTTATCCTAAAGTTTCTGTACTAGACAATCACATTGGTACAGACAGAAAACAAAACTTCCAGATTATAACATTTAGAAATGTGTTACAAACTTGTAAATTTGTAACAAGGTAGCTAAACAATGGTTTATTTTGACTATTCTGCTTACAGTGAAGGTGTCAATATTCACTTCATGGTAATGATATTAAACTTTCAACCGATGTTGTTTTATAGTTTCTTATTTTTAAATGGACATAGGAGTGTGATGGTGCTAAAAATATGCTATATTTAGATGTCTCTGTAACCCATCAGTTGGAATAGGTCGGGTTATATACAGTAACAAATACCCCAACATGTCAGTGGATTGAAATGACAAAGCTTTAATTTTTCATTCTGTTGCATGTCCATCACGGGTGGCCTGAGGGCTCCACTCCGTGCTATCTCCTTATTCCAGGATCCAGGATGACAGGGCAGCCACCAACTTTGCCAGTTGCTATGGCAGAAGAAAGTTCTCTGGCTCAGAAGTTACACATGTCACTTTTAATCAAAACTTGCTGGCAAGAACTAATATAGTCTTACTCAACGATAGCTGTGAAGTGCAATTTCATCATGTGCCCAGAAGGCAGAGAGCTGGAAATATTTGGTGAACAGAACTAATGACTGTCACAGTTACCCAAAAAATTGCTCTATTATGGTTTCATATATCTTTGTTTTCTCTGCCTGACTAAACTATGAAATCAGAATCTACAACTTGAAAGGTTCCCAACAAATTCTTTTGATTCACTGATTCTACATAGATAGATGAGTTCAATATAAAGTGTGATTTAAATAAATAAATTATGTCCTCTTAGAACTTCCCCCCAATACTAAATATATAGATGCTCCTTCACTTATGATGGGTTACATCCCAATAAAACCATCACAAATTGAAAATTCATAAGTAAACAATTATAACAAGATTCTGTTATAAGCAACAAATTATAACAAGATTCTGTTATAAGCAACAAATTATAACAAGATTCTGTCATAAGCAACAAATTATAACAAGATTCTGTCATAAGCAACAAATTATAACAAGATTCTGTTATAAGCAACAAATTATAACAAGATTCTGTTATAAGCAACAGAAAACACACAAAGACACTAGGTTAGGTATATTAAATAGGAAACGGTAACTTATACAGAAAAGGAATTTCTTTATTAAAGTTCTGGATCCTGGGAAGTCTAAGGTTGAGGGGCCACATCTGGAGAGACCATTTGTGTGGGTGAAGCCTCTGTAGAATCCTGAGATTGTTCAGGGCATCACATGGCAAGGGGGCAGAGCATGCCAGCTCAGATTTCTCTTCTTCCACTTCTTCTTCATATAAAGCCATCAGCCTCATTCCCATGATAACCCATTAATGCATTAATCCATTCATAAATGAATGGATTAATCCCTTCATTAGGGTAAAGCCCTCATAACCCAATCACCTCTTAAAGGTCTCACCTCTCAATACTGACACATTTGGGATTAAATTTCATCATGGATTTTGGAAGAAACAAGTATTGAAACCATACCATCTACCAAACATCATAGCTTAGCCTAACCTATCTTAGAAATGCTCAGAGCACTTTCTGTACAGTATTTAATAAAATACATGAGTTATTCAACACTTTATTATTAAAATAGGCTCTGTGTTAGATGATTTGGCTCAGCATCTTGAGAAGTATTGTACCACATATCGCTAGTCCAGGAAAAGACCAAAATTCAAATTCAAAGTAGAGTTTCTACTGAATGTATATTGCTTTTGTACCATCATAAAGTCAAAAAATCCTAAGTCAAGACATTGTAAATCAGGGACTGTCTGTATTTAAATCCAGTTCTGGGATCATACTAAAATTGAGCTAAGAGCCCAGGGTGGAATCACCTGGGTATCAAATCCAGGTATAATCAACAAAATAGTTATTCAAATACCAACTGTATTCATTTTTCCACAAATGCTACAATCCATTAAAGAATCATGCATGTAAATCTGACACTACAATAATCCCTTTCTTTACTTTCATTGCATTTGCTGTGTAAATCTACACATTAGGAACCATCCACACATTGCTGAAGAGAAACAGCCACTCAGGCTGTCTGTGCTCACTTTAAGATCATGGTCATAAATCCAAAATGTCTAGGACTCTCCAATCTTTATCTCCATACCTCATTTGTCGCAGGAATTCTAGATTCATATATATCTTGGTATCTCTGCTGTGATGTCTGTTAAGTTTCTAAAACCTAACCTGGGCCGGGCGCGGTGGCTCACGCCTGTAATCCCAGCACTTTGGGAGGCCGAGGCGGGCGGATCACGAGGTCAGGAGATCGAGACCATCCCGGCTAAAACGGTGAAACCCCGTCTCTACTAAAAATACAAAAAAATTAGCCGGGCGTAGTGGCGGGCGCCTGTAGTCCCAGCTACTTGGGAGGCTGAGGCAGGAGAATGGCGTGAACCCGGGAGGCGGAGCTTGCAGTGAGCCGAGATCCCGCCACTGCACTCCAGCCTGGGCGACAGAGCGAGACTCCGTCTCAAAAAAAAAAAAAAAACCTAACCTAGCCAAAACAGAACCATCTATTTTCACGACCTGCAAAGCTGTTTCTTTCTGAGTTCTTCCCATGTCTGAAAGCTGCACCATTTACCCAGTTTTTCAAGCTAAAATATAGGAATCCTCCTGATTCCTCTCTCTCCCTTATTCTAAATCAAACCTACTAGCAAGTCTTGGGAACTTTACTGCTAAAACATATGCATGACCTAAGAATTCTTCACTAGGTCCTCTATTAGCCTACTCTAAGACCAACTTCCACTTGGACTACTGTTAAAACCTCCTAACTGATCTGTCTGTTATCACAAGCTCCCTACTTCCAAATCCATTTTCCACACAGTGATAACTCCTTACTTCCAAATCCATTTTCCACATACTTATAATAGCAATCTTTTAAAAACAACATCAGTCCATGTCATTGCCCTTAAAATTTACCATTATACTTTGAATAAAATTTAAAGACCATTGGCCCTCAAAGCTTATTTCACTGATACATACATCACAGACCACTCCCTCTCATTCCCCTACATGGTACACATTTCTACTCCTTCAATACAATGGATTTGCTCACCTGAGGGCCTTTGCATTACCTTTCTTTCAATCTTTGCAGGATGTCTGCTTGTCATTTAGGCTCAGCTTAAATGCCAATTTCCTGACCATTCTATATAAAAAGGAACCACCTCATCACTATCTTTTGCATCACCTTAATTATCTGCATATTTCTTTATTATTTTACAATGTGTCCATGTTTATTTATTCTTTTTCACTTGTTTCACACCACTAAAACATAATCTCAGCTGTTTTGCTCCCCACCATGTCTTCTATCCTCTGTGCCTAAGTCACTGTCTGGCTCACATTAGGTACTCAGCAAATATTTGTTGAAAAGATGCTTATGATTTCAAAATACACAAAGTACATGGCATGAGCAGGGAAGGTACAAAAGTTACATAACACAACACTTGATAATTTGTAATTATTCTGGAATTTCAGATGATAAAAATTAGATTATAAATTATTAAACATAACAAAGACAAATGCTTTTGTAGTGTAATTTTTCCACAAGTAATTAACCTGACTTGGAAGACAGTTTACATTCAAACCTAGACAGTTGAGTACTGGAAAGGGAAAACAGAATGAACATGAGCAAGAGTTGGGGCATTTACCAATACTGAACACTTATCATGTGCCTGGCATAATATAATTGTCATGTCTTTAATTTTAACGAGGTAGGTATTGCTATTCCCATTTTAGAAATTATAATATTGAGGTGTAGACTCATTAAGTAGCTTGCTCACATAGTGGTGAGCCCAGACACAGGAGCAGCAGTATCTACAACTAGAAAAGTAGTGATAACTCAGGAATAAAAGGTGTAACGGCCACACGGAACAAAAAAAAAAGAGCCCATATAGCCAAGACAATACTAAGCAAAAAGAACAAGGCTAGTGGCACCATGCTACCTGACTGCAAACTATACTACAAGGCTACAGTAACCAAAACAGCATGGTACTGGCACCAAAACAGATATATAGACCAATGCAACAGAACAGAGGCCTCAGAAATAACACCACACATCTACAAGCATCCAATCTGTGACAAACTTGACAGAAACAAGTGAGGGGGAAAGGATTCCCTATTTAATAAATGGTGCTGGGAAAACTGGGTAGCCATATGCAGAAAACTGAAACTAGATCCCTTCCTTACACCTTATACAAAAATCAACTCAAGATGGATTAAAAGACTTAAACGTAAAACCTAAAACTATAAAAACCCTAGAAGAAAACCTAGGCAATACCATTCAGGACATAGGCAAAGACTTCATGACTAAAACACCAAAAGCAATTGCAACAAAAGCCAAAATTAACGAATGGGATCTAATTAAACTAAAGAGCTTCTGCACGGCAAAAGAAACTATCATCAGAGTGAACAGGCAACCTACAGAATGGGAGAAAATTTTTGCAATCTATCCATCTGACAAAGGTCTAATATCCAGAATCTACAAGGAACTTAAACAAATTTACAAGAATAAAACAACCCCATCAAAAAGTAGGCAAAGGATATGAACAGACACTTCTCAAAAGAAGACATTTATGCAGCCAACAGACATATGAAAAAAAGTTTATCATCACTGGCCATTAGAGAAATGCAAATGAAAACCACAATGAGATACTATCTCACTCCAGTAAGAATGGTGATCATTAAAGTCAGGAAACAATAGATGTTGGAGAGTATGTGGAGGAATAGGAATGCTTTGACACTGTTGGTGGGAGTGTAAATTAGTTCAACCATTGTGGAAGACAGTGTGGTGATTCCTCAAGGATCTAGAACCAGAAATACCATTTGACCCAGCAATCTCATTACTGGGTATATCCCCAAAGGATTAAAAATCATTCTACTATAAAGACACATGCACACTTATGTTTATTGCAACTCTATTTACAATAGCAAAGACTTGGAACCAACCCAAATGCCCATCAATGACAGACTGGATAAAGAAAATGTGGCACATATACACCATGGAATACTATGCAGTCATAAAAATTAAGGAGTTAATGCCATTTGCAGGGACATGGATGAAGTTGGACACTATCATTTTCAGCAAACTAACAGGAACAGAAAACCAAACACTGCATGTTCTGACTCATAAGTGGGAGTTAAGCAATGAGAACACATAAACACAGGGAGGGGAACATCACATACTGTGGCCTGTCGTGGGGTGGGGGGAAAGAAGAGGGAAAGCATTAGGACAAATACCTAATGCATACGGGGCGTAACACCTAGATGATGGGTTGATGAGTGTGACAAACCACCATGGCACATGTATACGTACCTATGTAACAAACCTGCATGTTCCGCACATGTACCCCAGAACTTAAAGTATAATACATAATAATAATAAAAAGGTGTAACAACAAGGGAACACCCCACACTAACAGAAGTGTAGTATCCCATTATTCTCTGTAAAGACCACACCATGTCTGAGATATAAACAGGGTTTGGGGGGGTATGACTTTAATGGAACACTGGAAAATTAAATGCATTCAGTGAAAAGCAAATCCAAATAAGAGACTGATATGTGACAACAATATTATACACAATAATGTTAAAAACTTAGGCTCTTTTAGCTTGCAGAAGAAAAACTCCGGAGTATAAAATGGTCTTCGAGTTAAATAGAATTATATCTAATTTAGTGATAGAGTTTTAATTGTAGGTCTTACTGTGAAAATCAAATTATCCTGAAAAATCCTTAGGAAAATACCATAGTCCAGCATGTTACACAAATTTCAATTGGTCCAGCACCCCAGGATCAACAGGTTTCCTCCTATTTTAGGATTTATGGCTATTTGTTTTCCATGAAGCACTAGAAAATGTTACATGGTTGCCTTGTGTTTAGTTGCATGTAAAGGTTTATCTTTAAATGCAGTGCTCACATAATAGAAAGATAGCGGGAACTCAAACAGCTAGGGAAAGGAGATATATGTTTCCCATTTCATTTTCACTCCTGGGCATATGCTGGACTAGAATGCCCAGCACTATTTAAATTGTTCCCTTTTCTCTCTCTCTCTTCCCTCCCACTTTTTATGTAGGAGAGGGGAATAGAGAGAATATGATGCATTTGCATAAATTTTATGTACTCAACATGACTCTATTTTATATTAGTAAATTTAATGTAGAAGATTTATCTGATATAATACAGAAGGCAAAACTGTGGTCAAAGAGTAGACATTACCAGGTAAAATAGGGTTTCATTTAAAGTAATATGTCTTACTGTCCCACAAAGCATTTATATAATGGTTACATGCCATGTATTATTATTTTGGATTAGATAATTAATAAATTCCATCCCAATATTATAACAATACTTTTGTGGAACAAGTAGACAAAATAAAACACAAAAATAAGAATGACTTTATGCTATTTTAGATTGACATTATTATTTCCCTTATTGCTTGTAATTCAAATGGGCGTATAATTAGTAATAAATTTAGGATTCTTAGAGTACATAATAATCTATGATATTCCAAACATTCAGAATGAATGAGTTGCTGGATTCAATTCCTTATCATTATAAATTATTTCAAATGTAGGACAGGATTACAATAATTTTCAAGTTTCAAAAAATGCCAAAGGCAGTAAGCAATTAAGTAAAATAATATAAATGTCAAGAGAAATAAGAATTTTCAAAATTTCAGGTAACTTCAACCAACAGAAAACTTCAATCAGGTTCATGGTGCCTGTGAAAGACAATCCAGGAATGCATTTTAGTTAGTAGTTGATTAAATGGGCTAAATAAAACCCCTTCTGTCTTCCTATACATGGCAAAACCCCATCTTTACTAAAAATACAAAAATTAGCTGGGCATGGTGGCGGGCGCCTATGATCCTAGCTACTTAGGAGGCTGAGGCAGGAGAATCGCTTGAACCCAGGAGGCAGAGATTGCAGTGAGCTGAGCTCTTGCCACTGCATTCCAGCCTGGGTGACAGAGTGAGACTCTGTCTCAAAAAAAAAATATATACATATATATATGTATATATTTTTTTTTTCGAAAAAATGAATAAATCCCACAATTTGTTTCAGGATGATGCAGGGGCAAGGTCATTCAGAGCATGTAACCTATGGTAATGAGTTTAGACTAAGTACAATGGGAAGGCACTGGAATACTCTAGGAAAGGGATGGAAAGTCTGGAGACATGCGGAGAAGTATAAAGATATAATCCAATTTGTGTTTTCAGAAGTTCACTATGTGGAAAACAGTTTAGAGGTCAGAGAAGTGGAAATGGGAAAAAAAGGGAGTAGGCTGCAGTCATGCATGCAAAAGGATTATGGCTTAGACTAGGTTAGTGGCAGCAGAAGTAGAAAGCATGAGATTAAATTCTAAGATATTTTAGAAGCATGAAGTATGAGACTGACAAATGGAGTAGAGCTAGGCATGAGAGAAAAGAAGAAGCTAAAGATAACTCTTAAATTTAAGGCTTTAGTTGCTGTATAGACCAGTGGTCCCCAACCTCTGGTCCATGGCCTAATAGGAAGTGGGCTGAAAGGCAGTAGGTGAGTGGTGGGTGAGTAAGTAAGCTTCATCTGTATTTACAGCCGCCTCCCATCACTCACATTACCACCTGAGCTCCACCTCCTGTCAGATCAGCAGCAGCATTAGATTCTCACAGGAGCACAAATCCTATTGTGAACTGTGCATGCGAGGCATCTAGGTTGTGTGCTCCTTATGAGAATCTAATGCCTGCTAATCCGTCACTGTCTCCCATCACCCCCAAATGGGACCATTTGTGAGGTGAGGAAAACAAGCTCAGGGCTCCCACTGATTCTACATTATGGTGAGTTGTATAATTATTTCATTATATATTACAATGTAATAATTAAAGAAATAAAGTGCACAATAAATGTAATGTGCTTGAATCACCCCCAAACCATCCCCCCACCCACCCCAGGTCCATGGAAAAATTGTCTTCCACAAAACCAGTCCCTGGTGCCAAAAAGGTTGGGGACCTCTGGTACAGATGTAGTACCATTTTCCAAAAAGGGGAAGATTCCGCTGGGTTAGATCTACTAAATATTTTCTTTCCCGTATTATACAAAAGGCCTATTTATTACTTCATTTACTTGGTAATTATTGAATATCTACTATGTGTTAGGTTATGCTAGTGTATAATATTTTCTTTTTTGTAACTGTCTATTTTTACTGAATTCCCAATTTCAGGTTATTTTTTGAACTCTATCAAATGTAATATATTTTCTCACCTAGAGTTACTTATCTGTGCATCCATCCTTGGTTAATGAGAAAGAGTAGCAAATTTTTTCTTTGTTATTTGTGCCTCCCTCTACTATTCATTTTAATTGGGCATTCTAGATGTACTTGGAACTATTACACCAATTGGCCTCATTATCACATTGTACTGTAATTATTTATTGGTGTGTTTCTGAAATTACATCCTATCCTCCTTGAGGGAAAGCACCTGGTCTCTTTCGTTTGGTGCTATAGTCCCAGCATAGGACACAGTGCTTGGCACACAGTAGGTACATCATTACTATATTAAGGTGGAGATAAAAGGCAGAGGCCTATAACCATTGTCTAAGGATAATATGTAATGCCAAATTTTCAGTCCTATGATGGGTTTGTTTTCCTCTTCTGGAAGTTATTGGTGTATGTTCCTGACAGCTTAGATGGAAGACTCCAAAAATATACTTGAGACCCGAAAGACCATCTTATTATTCAGTGAGAACACTGAGATTTTCATCTGCCTTATTTGCCCACATAGCAGTTGAGAACAGATAAAATGCTCTCCAACAGTTCCTGTTTTATATGGTGCCATTTATTGCTTAACCCAAGATAAACTTCAATAGAAAATTATCATTTTCATGATTTCCTTGAAATGGGATATATAGGTCCATTTGGTTTTGTATTAATATCTCATTACTTCATTGGTTTGCTAAATTGATTTGTTCAATTCATATCTTATTCTCTAAAGTTGGGAAATTTCTAGAACATCATATATCATGGTCCTAGGGCAAATACTCTTTAAAATCAGCACTACATCCATAACAGAATGTGTCAGTGAAAAAGCTGATTTTCTCCGTATTCCATAAGGAGAATGTCATATAACCCCAAGTAAGAGAAACCCCATGCCTTCAGATCACAATCAAAACACATGTCCAGAGGAAATATTTCCTGTGGTTGGAGCAAACAAGAACCTCTATGACAAGGAAGGTTTTCAGAGGCTACAATACACCTTCCTGAGTAACCCTTCTTAGAGCACAATTTGAAGAAAGCTTGCTGATAAATTACTTATAGGTGCAATTAAGTTCAAAAATGAAATAAATGAAATGATGTAAAATGATATAATATCAATGCATCACAATATATATATTTGAGTAGATAAATATAGCAGCATGGAAAAGGGAGCTTTTCCAGTCTTTTGAGAAGTCAATCCCCATGACTTGTTTTGTTTATCCATCTTTTGTGGTAGGTTGATTTCTAAAGTAAGATAGATGATTTATTTTGGTAAAGACTAAGTTTACCAAATAGCTTTCAATAACTGATGAGGCTTCCCAGATCTCTGGTAGTAAGAGGATAGCAACCTCGAATGTTTCTCAATTCATCCCTGCTGTTCCTTCCAATCACATTCACTATTACACCAATTACAGTCACTATTCTTCAGGTAACTCTTCCTGGATTACTACTAGAGTATCTTCCTATCTTCACTGCCAACCCGTAAACTTTCCTTCCATCCAATATATGGTTTCCAGGAAAATTTTTGTAAAGCTCTGTTCATTATGCCATTATTTGGTTCAAAACCTTTTAACAGTTCTTGTAGCATTCATAAAAGAAGTCCAAATAAATAAGTCTCTTTGTGCTCTACGTTCTGCCTACCTTGCCAGCTTTATTCATATTTCTAAGCACCTCAATGATACAGGCATTTGTCCTCAATCTTTCAGACTTTCTCCATGCGTTTGTTTTATACAATCTGTTCCCCTGATAGGATAGCCCTTCTTTTTAGTAAGGGACTATCCCAGATTTCTCTAACAAAGAGAACAAAACAAAAACAAACCACCACCATGGCTTCAATCAAGCTAGACATTTATTTTTCTCACACGACAGTCCAGAGGTAGCTGGGTGGTCCATTGTGGGTATGCTGCCCTGCTCCCTGAGACTGTCCAGGGACCATGATTCCTCCTATCTTGCTTTCCCATCTCCTACCATGGTTTCCTTAAATGTTAAATGGCTGAGAAGGAAGAAAGAGACATAGGAATGTATGCCCAATCGTTTTATGGGCAAGATCCCCAAATTGCCCATATCATTTCCATTTATATCTCATTAGCAATGGCTTTGTCACATGGCCACCCATCACTGCTAGTGAGGCTGGGAATTGTAGCCTCTAGGTTGATAGGCACATGCACTGTTAAACCCTGTGGATAGAGCAGGTGGTGGAAAGGAGTTCTGTTACTAAAGGAAATAAGGGGATGCTGTGGATGGGGTTCAATTAGAACTCTCTTTCTTTCAGTTTATACCTTTAGAAATAACATTCATCTTCAAAGCCAAACTCCAGTTACACCTCCTCAGGTGTTTACACCTTTAGAAACAACATTCATCTCCAAAGCCAGACTCAAAGAACACTTCCTCCTGGTCAGTCTTCTCTGATTTTATCCTATCTCCTTATTCCATATAGCTCCAAAAGGATTAGCAACTCTCTTTCCTCTGAAATTTCATAGCTTTCATACCTACTATGGAATTTGGCACAATCTAGACATATTATAGTTAGCCATATACATATTAAAGATAGTTTGTCAGAAAATGTAATGTGGCCCAAAAGCAAACAACGTATGTGTGCTATTCATTACTCCTCCTTCATTGTTCTATTCATACACAAAGACAAAGATAGAGGCTGTATCAACTTCTTATTCTGTATTTCTAGAAGTGATTTATACAGGAGTAAACATTCAATAATGGTGGTAATGATAACACTGCTTTATCCAATACACTGATAATTTATCTTCATTTACTACAAAAATAACATTTTACAAAGTAACATATACATATTTGATCTAGAGAAATAAGTTTTAGAAATTGTTTAGAAACAAAGTTATTGTAAAAGATTTTCAATTAAACAAAATACTATGTCCTAAAATTTTACTAAAAGTATTTTTGAATAATGATGTTTAAATAAAGCATGTTTGTGCTTTTGTCCTTTAGTAACAATTTTCCAAAAACAAGCAAAGTCCTTGAATAATACTAATGGATCATTATATATTTTTAATTTCTTAGGTTTATCTTTTATTCTCATATCTGATTTCTTTCTTCCATTTGCTGACATCTGTTACTTTGGGGGTTCATATCTTCTTATTTTGGCATAATTAGTTTATACTTTTCAGATAACATGAAACAGTCTATATTTCTAGTGGGTAAAATATTTTATTTTATTTCATAATTTTTACTACGGACCAAATACTTACTTTACATTGAGTAACACATCATACTAGATGATTTAAGTTACAGAATTTCACTGTTACAGTGTAAATTTTGGATACAGTATACCAAAAAATATATACCTCCTATTTTTCCTTTAATACTGAACCATAAATTATGAGCGGGGAGTCATTTCCTTTGATTAATAACTTTGCCGGCCATGTATAGTGAATATTTACACATTATTCTATGTTGGTAGAGTGCTTAAAATGCCTGAAACAATAACTATTATCAAGCCAAATTTAGAGAAATTGTACATATCAAAGTCTTTCAAATGACAAGAGTATAACATATAGGAAACATACGATAAATCCCCTTTACTTAAAACTCAGAAAGATTATAAAAGTCTCCTATAAACATTTTTTTTAAAAACAGACATCTGAGTCTGTCAGTAATTTAAAATTTAAATGTACGTAATAGCCTAGGGGAATTGTAGTAAGGGTTGTTCCCAGGGTGTTATAAACATCGAAATATTTATTAAAACACCTATGTAAGCTCCAATGAAACATATTATCTTGAAATTATGTTAAAGTAGAACTTACAATTCATGCACTTACAAGACCAATCCTATGATACATTTAATAATCATGCTTTAAAAGGTCATAAATCTGTGTTTAATACAGAATACATTAAAAAAAAGTTTTTGTCCTTTTTGTATACTTAAAAAATCTATTCAGGCAAACATACTCTTAAAGTGTAACTGTTGATTTTATTGGCAAATCTATAATAATGCATATGATCAATCTTTATTGAATTATTTTGGGTCACAAACACAATTAATAAATCATCTTTGAAGTGCACTGACCATAATCAGTATACTCTGGAACAAGGCCAAGGGGCCATTAATCAAAATATGCAGCAAGCAAAGTGAGAGCCGCAGCCTGACCAGTTAGGTAAACATAGAGTGAAGCTAATAAAAACCTATCTCGTTTTAAAACCACCACCATGTTTACTTTTGCAACTAAGATAAACATTATGATAAAATTAAAGTTGTGTAAAAAATGAGGTTTGCTCATGATGACCAGAGTAAATATATAGCAATTGAACATTCATTTTATGTACCTAATTTGACATTTAAAAAGTCTATAGTTCAGGTACCAAAAATCTACAAAAATTGGATATTTGAATTTGATGATTATATTATCCATCTAAATTTAAAAAACATAATTTTCAAATACTTTGAGATTTAAACTTTGAATACATTGCTAGCAATTTTTAAGAATCAAGGTATGAAAATAAATTCTTTTTGAAAAGATGGAATGGTCAACTACCTCATTTTAAGTTGGCACATGCAATTTCATCTCCTTCTCTCTATATATGTATTTCTAAAATGAATTGGTAAACAACAACAACAAAAAACTCAAAAGGCAAACACTGTTGTGAGGGTACAAATTGTTATAGCCTTCCTGGAGAAATTCTGGCAAAACATACATACATGTATGTGTAATATATGTGTAATTCCATGTATAACTCTCTCTATATATAAAGTATTACATATCTCAAATTAATCAACTGCTTTTAAAACATAGTCTTCCAAAGATATTATTTTCCTCCCATATTACACCATATTGATTGCTAAATGGAAGAAAAAAAAAGTTGTGGGTTACAGCATAACTGGTGTGAGCCTAGTTTTGTCAATGAAGTGTGGAAGAGAGAGGGATCTGCAACGACACAGAGTACCAGGTCTCAACGGTGGTCATCTCCAGGTGGGTGGGATTACGAGTTTCCCATATGCTCATTCTTTTGTTTCTGTGGGTTTTCTGATTTTTCTGGAATGAGCATGAACTGCTTTTATAATTGGGAAACAAATAAAATAAAGTTCATTTTATTAAAAAATAAATGAATTAATACCAGACTCTGACCCCCTCACTGTTTTAATTTTTATAATTCATAACATTAATAATAAAAACATAGGAAGAAGATATCAGAAAGCAAACAAATAACTTTCTTCAAAACTCCATTAAAAAGAAGAATCTTTATTAAGAGTGAATATTGCCTAAACTCTATGTGACTGCAACTGGGTTACTGTGGGGAAATGAGCTCTTTAGGACCCTGAAAAGCTTTAATAGATATAGTCACTTTGGTTTGGAAGCTACAAAAATTCTGATGCTTATAATAACTTCTCAAAACAAAAGTGCATGGATTGTGCAATTTCTTCAAGGATAATACTGTAAGCATCCGGCATAACAAAATAAAGAATTGAGCTTTTGTAGGTTCAGGAAGACAATACCTTATACAAACTCTATCAGTGGCACTGCACTCTATGGAGGTGGGGAAATACTGGGCTGAAATACGCTACATCTTTTTCTGCACCTTGTAGCCACAAGACTGTGATAAGAACGTTAGACCTAAAACCATAAAAACCCTAGAAGAAAACCTAGGCATTACCATTCAGGACATAGGCATGGGCAAGGACTTCATGTCTAAAACACCAAAAGCAATGGCAACAAAAGCCAAAATTGACAAATGGGATCTAATTAAACTAAAGAGCTTCTGCACAGCAAAAGAAACTACCATCAGAGTGAACAGGCAACCTACAAAATGGGAGAAAATTTTCGCAACCTACTCATCTGACAAAGGGCTAATATCTAGAATCTACAATGAACTCAAACAAATTTACAAGAAAAAAACAAACAACCCCATCAAAAAGTGGGCGAAGGACATGAACAGACACTTCTCAAAAGAAGACATTTATGCAGCCAAAAAACACGTGAAAAAATGCTCATCATCACTGGCCATCAGAGAAATGCAAATCAAAACCACAATGAGATACCATCTCACACCAGTTAGAATGGCAATCATTCAAAAGTCAGGAAACAACAGGTGCTGGAGAGGATGTGGAGAAATAGGAACACTTTTACACTGTTGGTGGGACTGTAAACTAGTTCAACCATTGTGGAAGTCAGTGTGGAGATTCCTCAGGGATCTAGAACTGGAAATACCATTTGACCCAGCCATCCCATTACTGGGTATATACCCAAAGGACTATAAATCATGCTGCTATAAAGACACATGCACATGTATGTTTACTGCGGCATTGTTCACAATAGCAAAGACTTGGAACCAACCCAAATGTCCAACAATGATAGTCTGGATTAAGAAAATGTGGCACATATACACCATGGAATACTATGCAGCCATAAAAAATGATGAGTTCATGTCCTTTGTAGGGACATGGATGAAATTGGAAATCATCATTCTCAGTAAACTATCGCAAGAACAAAAAACCAAACACCGCATATTCTCACTCATAGGTGGGAGTTGAACAATGAGATCACATGGACACAGGAAGGGGAATACTACACTCTGGGGACTGTGGTGGGGTGGGGGGAGGGGGGGAGGGATAGCATCGGGAGATATACCTAATGCTAGATGACGAGTTAGTGGGTGCAGCGCACCAGCATGGCACATGTATACATATGTAACTAACCTGCACAATGTGCACATGTACCCAGAAACTTAAAGTATAAAAAAAAAAAAAAAAAAAAGACTGTGATAAGATTGTGTAGTCCTAGCTAATTAAATAAAAAACTCACTCTAAGGTGTGTGTGTTGTTTTGGCATCCAGTATTCACTTGAAATACTATTTAGTATTTTTATTGGTAAAAGCAACTTTACAACAAATTTTCTTTTATATTTGAAAGACAGTTTGTCTAGATACTTTGAAAGTTTACAAGATTAATAAAACAATTCATTATAAAGCTCTGTGAATTTAATAATTTATATTTATTTTATATCTGTATTCCTTTTACAGTGATTTATATTTGTTCTGAAGTCTCTAAAAGCTTTGCAGAGTATTTCAGGTATTAACTGAAGTCATTTCTCTCTGTATATTGAGTCAAAATAAAAGGAAAGCTTCCCCACCCCCCAAAAAAGTGGTTCTCAGATAAAATAAAATGCCCCAAATCCATTCCCACATATAATAGTGCACTCACAAATCTGGAACACAATTCCAAATATTTCAATTTAGAACTTTATGACCGATGTACTCCCTTCGCTCTGCACAAAACTATTTGTGTATATCTTTGTCTCTCAAAAGATTATAAACCCAGTTGAGGAAGTAACCAGGCACAAACTCTGGAATAAAACACCGGCTGTGCTGCTCTGGCAAAAGAACTATATCTTTATGAGCCTTGGTTGCTTTTCATCTGTAAGAAGGATAAATTAATACCTATCTTGTAGGGTTTGTGTGAGATTTAAATGAGAGATAACATATAAAGCACTTATCAAAATTCTGATTTATTTTTATATCTCTCTCTCCTTCTATACCTTGTCACTATAACAATGACTTAGGGTTGCAATAAATGTTCAACTAAATTTAAAAATTATTATGATTTTGTTTTATAGATAAGTATTTAGTTTTTCTCAGAATGCAAAATAACCCTGTGGTATTTATAAAGTACTTAATATGTTACATTGTAAAATACCTATAAACAGTTAAATTTAAAAAATGAATACTTTTCTCATGGATATTTCATATTTTTAATTGCTTCATGAATTTTAATCAATAATAGCTAATAAATGTGGAAGTATTTTATTGCTAAATCATATTCATGTTTTGAAAGTGGTGAAGAGTTAAATATACAATAGATCTATAAATATTGAGAGGGATCTTACAGATCATCTAGTATAATCCTTTCATTTTTAGATGAGAAAACTGAAACTTGGAAAGGTAAAATGACTTGCACAAAGTCTTGTAGACAAAAAAAAAAAAAAAATTAAGCCATAGTACTTATGACCACTCCTTCCCCTACTTTTGTTTCTTTTTTCTTGAGTTGCAGAGATAGAGAAGCTAAATAGTGGAATCACATGTAAGATGTCTGGTGGGAATGTTGGAAGGGACTGAAGGTCATGCAATCAGAAGGGCCTAGGAAACTTAAGTTTAGAGGTAGGGACTGATGTATTTTCACCCGTAAGTAGCAAACTAACCATATCTGCGTTTATTTGTGAGTCTACAGATAGGGTACATGACCTAATTGATGTTTATGTTTTTGATGACAAGCTGTCAGAGAAAAAAATCATGCTTCAGGAAGGGAGGAAAATAGGTAGCAGTTTTAATTTTAAAACTTAAAATAAGGGCTAGCCATTAGTAATTGAGAACGTCTTACTCTGAGGTTTTTTAAGAGCTAAGGCTTATTTTTGCTTTTGTTTTATAGAAGCTTCTTTTTTTCATTAAAAATATTGGGAAAGTACAACTAGTATTTAAAATTTTTAAGAGCCATAAAATTTCAGTCTCCTGTATTCAAAATGCAAAAAAAATCCTATAGTATAAAAAAATAAGAAAAAAATACATAATTTAACATTTTGTTTTATTTGAGCAAAAGAGGAGGCATTATACAGTAGGGTATCAACCACTCAACATCTGACTGATACATGCTAAATTTCTCTTAATATTTAAAATGCTCACTGACATCTAACAGGTGTTTTCATTTCTACTTAGGGGCAGTCTGCCTAAAGGGCCTACAATGATATAATTAGCAGACCGTTACCAAAGCTGATATGGTTTACATCAACTTTGTCAACTTTTAAAATGGTGAAAATATATAACATAAACATTGACATGATTACCTAAACATGGAAAAGAAAAGGAACATAATATTAATTGTCTGTATGTTTGGAGAAACAAACACATTATCTTTATTAAAAAGCTAAATAAAAATATTTAGTCTTGATTCAGAGCTAAACTTCTTTCATCTCTGTATCATGCATATCAGAAACCTGCTTAAGCAACACAGTGTACTCAGAAAATGTTAGCAACCTAAAACCTTACCTTTGGTTCACACATAGAGTGAAAAGACCTAAGATGCAGCTCTCCAACATAAAACCAATATTTCCTTCTTCCCGCAAACCATTAAGTCATTATCAGACAAAACAATTGGACTGAAAGTTCCATGAGGACAGGAGCTGTGTCTATTTTCTACTTTCTGGGATCCTCAGCATGATCAACATTATGCCTGGCACATAATTCAATTTCAACTCATTACTCACTTGTCTACTAATTGACTGAATGAAGTACTTAGTTTCTGGAACGTTTTAAACTGCTTATAATTTTATTCTTTCCCATAGTTTGGCTATTTCAATGTCTGTAAATTGAAAATATTTTTGGTTCACCGTATAAAAGAGATCACACTATGCCTTGAACTCTATGAGCTCTATCAAGGGGTTATAAGCTACGAATAAATTCAAATGATAAACACAAACCGGAAAGAATTTAGTGCACAATGGGTTTTTGCATATATTGTCTGAAGACATTAGGGATACAGCATAGTATGGAGATAGCATTTTTAAGTATATGTAGATCAGGCCAATCGTGGAGAGAACAAAAACACAATGATAGACAAAATAATCCCACTATACAATGTTTATACGCTAGAAACTAAAACATGTTCCCACTAGGCTGCCAGTTTCCTGATGGCATGAATTGTGCTTCTTTGCATCCTTATTGTCTATAACAGAATTTTAAAGCTTTTTGCTCTCAGGAATACTTTATACTTTAAAAAATTTTTGAGGGTCTCAAGAGTTTTGACTCCACATTTTAGTTTATGTAGACTATTTGCCATATTGAAAATTAAACCTGAGAAAATTTAAACAGATTCATTAATTCATTTAAAAATAACACAAATCCAGTATATGATAATATGAATGATATATTCTTTATGAAACGTATTTTCCAGAAAAAAATGTTATGAGGGCATTGTTTTATACTTTTCAAACCTGTTTGATAGCTGGTTTGATTGAAAACAGTTGGATTTTCACCAGCTTCTGCATTCAATCAGCAGTGAAATGTTATTTTAATTGAAGGATATAAGAAAATCCAGCCTCACACAGGTATGGAATTTAAGAAGGGACGACCTTATGGACCCCTACAAAGGGCCATTGGAAAACCCCAGGTACCCTCATTCCATCCTGTGAAAATCACTGAACTATAAAATCATCTGCCACAGCATCATCATTCAATAACTATTTACTGAATTAACAAAAACTTTAGAAAAAATAAATTTTCAGAGCATACATACACATACCCAAAGATACAAATGATTTGAACATTCATTTTGGATTAAACTGATAATATTCTTTATAAATGCTCATTGTTTTGCTGTAACGAAATATTAAGTGTTTCAACTTCGCAACTCATCACACCTAAATTGAAATACAGACTGATGCAGGGTAATCAGAACCAAAGAGTGAAAACAGTGAAAATAAAGTACACAATGCCAAAACTTGATAGAAATAAACAGATGATGAGAAGGAGACATTTTACTTGAAAAAAAATGCCAAGCATAACCAAATTAAATGGCTAATTTGAATGCCATACGGGTCTCTTTCAAGCAGTAAATTAGATTGAAACACTTTACTGAACACTAGTTGGATTCCAATATTTTTTGTATCCTACATGCCATTTCTAATTAATCTATAAAAACCATGAGAAAAAAATTTTTGCTTACGTTCTCAGCATTTCAGCTTTAAATATTAATAGAAATTAACCAAATACTGAAACAATACATTGATTCAAACATTTTACAATTCCAAAATGACATTTTCTTAAAAATAACTTTAAAAACGTTCAAAATGAAAACATAATTTTTAAGATCATATGCTAGATTTTCAAAAATGTCATCTCACTTCTTGGCAAAGAATAAAATGACTTACTTTTCCTTTTCTTGAAGCTGATTCTCCTGAGGAGCCATTTTAGGTTCTGTCCCAAGATTTCTTTGCATTCGCTGTCTCCTTTTTCTACTTGGTGCAATATCAGTGACATCAAGACTTGAAATAATGGAATCATCTTTACTTACAGCAGCTGAAATAAAATGAGATGAGAATGTGACCCAACAAAATTATGCACATCATTTGTAAGTATTAACTTGCTGTTTTAGCATTGACATAAGGTGACAATTAAAATATAGCAAAACTATTCTTTCAAATCTTTATGCAGATTTGTTGAATCAAGTCAGTTAGATGCCATATGATACTTTACTACCAACAAAAAACATTATGTATATTGTACACACGGAATAATTTGATCAAAATGATCTTTGATGCTGGGTGAACGTGTTCTTGGAGATTTAATGGAGATAGTATTTTTATTAGGATTGTAACTAGAAATCATAGCAACAAAAACAAAACTGCATAGTTTTTTTTTATTATCTTTTAAGTTCTGAGATACATGTACAGAACGTGCAGGTTTGTTACATATGTATACAAGTGCCACGGTGGTGTGCTGCACCCATCAACTTGTCATCTATATTAGGTATTTCTCCTAATGGTATCCCTCCTCTTGCTCCTCACCCACTGACAGGCCCCGGTGTGTGATGTTTCCATCCCTGTGTCCATGTGTTCTCATTGTTCAGCTCCCACTTATGAGTGAGAACATGCAATGTTTGGTTTTCTGTTCTTGTGTTAGCTTGCTGAGAATGATGGTTTTCAGCTTCATCCATATCCCTGCAAAGGATATGAACTCATCCTTTTTTTATGGCTGCATAGTATTCCATGGTGTATATGTGCCACATTTTCTTTATCCAGTCTATCATTGATGGGCATTTCGGTTGGTTCCAAGTCTTTGCTATTGTAAATAGAGCTGCAATAAACATACATGTGCATATGTCTTTATAGTAGAATGATTTAGAATACTTTGGGTATATACCCAGTAATGGGATTGCTGGGTCAAATGGTATTTCTGGTTCTAGATCCTTGAGGAATCACCACACTGTCTTCCACAATGATTGAACTAATTTACACTCCCACCAACAGTGTAAAAGCGTTCCTATTTCTCCACATCCACTCCAGCATCTGTTGTTTCCTGACTTTTTAATGATCACCATTCTAACTGGCATGAGATAGTATCTCATTGTGGTTTTGATTTGTATTTCTGTAATGGCCAGTGATGATAAGCTTTTTTTCATATGTCTGTTGACCGCATAAATGTCTTCTTTTGAGAAGTGTCTGTTCATATCCTTCGGCCACTTTTTAATGGGTTTTTTTTTTTCTTGTAAATTTTGTTTAAGTTCTGTGTAGATTCTGGATATCAGCCCTTTGTCAGATGGGTAAATTGCTACAGAATGGGAGAAACTGAGTCGATTTTGAATATATTGCCCAAAGCTTAATTTTTTCTCCCTTAAGCCTGTTATTTTTACTGTGTAATTTTGCAGAATGAGTGGTTTTTCAGGTACACATATATTACATTCTGGCAGAAAAGCTTGCATGTTGAGTTCTCACTCTGTGTAGTTCATGCTTTACTTGATCTCTACGAGACAACTTGGACACTGTTGAACACTCTACTGAAATTCCTCTCTTGATTTTTTTTTCTTAATAACTATCAATTTCCAGATCTTATGTTTTGGGCACTTTGCTATGGGTTTTCCATGTATTACCTTGTTAATCCTTAAAATTACTTCATAAAGTACTTATTATTACTATCTTCATTTTATTTATAAGGAAAACAAGGCTTCAGAGAGGTTAAGTGACTTTCCCAAATCACAAAGCCTTTATTCTTATATTTTGTCATTATGACAATTAAAAAATATTTTTTCCTAGTTGGTAAATTATTCTTTGATCAAATACTAAGTGAAAGCCCATCAAAGCATAGTTTACTTTCCAAAGCTGTTTAAATTTTAGGACTTTTTTTATTAGCCTCTAAAAATGTATGGGGAATAGATAAGGGTAAATTAAAAAGGAAGTTTTTTTTTTTTTTTAAACACATTCAAGCTGAAAGATTTCCCAATGCTGTTAAGCTAAGAGATGACTAATGAAAGTACAAGTATATGCTTGTCTATGAACAAAACTAGCAAAACTGTTAGAGGTAGAGGACATTTCAGTTATAGATTTGTAAACTGGAGAAAGATTATATTTAATGTCACAGCGGATATCTAGGAAAAAAGAATATTAAGTTTAAATTAAAATACAAGGCAAAATTTTTAAAAATAAAATTAGTGAAAATTTCTGCCATTCATTTCAGAATTCCAAATGATGTCTTACAAATTGGCAACCAAAAAGGATACTGTATTTGGGAAGTGATTACCTCATGTATTATAATGTCTGCAACTTACTTTAAAATACAATGTTACTAAAGGTATGTTAGTGAGGGTGGACTATAACCAAGATGTTTCTAGCATCTAATCAGGAATGCACCGGCCAGAAGCAGGCTGATGGGATCAGAAATCTGTACTCCTAAGGAGGCCACTCCAGGTACTTTTGTTATTCATATTTCAATCAATAACTGATGACTTACTAATCAGTATACTGAATGACAAAATGCATGCCTATTGATAAAAACAAAGCATGTAAACTAACTTGATGAATATTACATATGGGTTTTCATGAGTAAATTAAAAGTACTAGTGTTATACAGACTGGCTAAAATATTTTAGAAATACTGCCCATCATTTTATGGACAAGGTGTAAAAATCCCATGAGGCCTATTTACACCTAGAGATAACCTGCTAAATTTTTAAATGGTTCTGTGTCCAGCTATGAACCCTGAACAACTGTGGTTGTTTGAAGTCAGGAAGAATCATCATTCCTGCTCAGGAATCTTTACATTTGTCAAAAATGAACATTTTCTATGAGGTAGTGACTGGGACACCTAAAAGGACCGAGAGCTTGCAATTTTTTTTCAAACCTATAGGACAGGTTCATGAATTATTTTGTGCTTACTTACAAGTAAATATTTAGTTAATAATCGTATGTGTGGCAAAATTTAATTTGAGAATTTTATTAATTGCCCTGAAACAAAATTGTAGGAGAAGTGTCTAATGTTCTCATACTTCAAACTTCTTGGTGACTATCATTATTATACCACAAATAAACTGAAGTTGTGTGTGACCAAGTACTTCTGGCCAGTTCACCACATTATGATTCATTCCTCTTGATAATTACAGTTTAACCTTTCTATAAAATTGGCATGAAGAAAAAGGGCTAGCTGTATAAGCTTAGTTACAGTTTAAATGGAATACATCTTTTTTGGTTTGTGTTTGCACCATGGGAAACAGTGTTCCCCTCAGTTTTTCACATAAATGTAATAGCAAACCATATTGTAATAGATTCTCTTACTTCAAATATTTCTTTAAAATGAAGTTTCATTATCTATCTAGCCTTCAATAAAAGGCAAAAACAATCCATTCTATCCTTCTCTCTCCACCCTGAAACCAGGATAAAAAGGTACTACTCCAATACTTGGTACCTAAGTATTAAATTGCTCATCTCGAACATTTTTCAAATTTCTTTTCTTTTTTTTTTTCTTTTTTGAGACGGAATTTTGCTCTTGTTGCCCAGGCTGGAGCGCAATGGCGTGATCTCGGCTCACTGCAACCTCTGCCTCCTGGGTTCAAACAACTCTCCTGCCTCGGGCTCCTGAGTAGCTGGGATTACAGAAGCCTGCCACCATGCCCGGCTAATTTTTGTATTTTTAGTAGAGACACGGTTTCACCATGTTGGCCAGACTGGTCTTGAACTACTGAGCTCAGGTGATCTACCCACCTCGGCCTCCCAAAGCGCTGGGATTACAGGCGTGAGCCACCGCGCCTGGTCTACATTTTTCAAATTTCAACCCATCCTGCCTCTTTCCTCCAATTGTGATAATGTTTGGTCTTTTCATTGTCTTTGGTCTTGATGCTAAATACTACAATTCTGCTCTGAAATTAGCTCCCTTGAACAATGACTGTCGGTCTCCAAATGAGCAATGCTATTTCACACACAACAGAAGGGATCCCAACTATATCAATAGGAGGTCACAGATAGGAGTTCAAAAATGTCTATAATATTCATTACCTTATATATATATTTGAGTGCAATAATTCAAGTTTTCACTTTCAAGTCTGGCATCTCATTGTTAAAAAAATCAATTCGTATTAAGTGTATTAGGTTATATGTATTCATTTTAGATATGAGAGAGAACTTGAATAGAGTCGGAAAAAAATGGCAAATGTTCAAAGGGTAATGAGGAGGAGGGTGGCCTTGTTGTAATGGCATGCATGAAAGGTGCAGGAAATGAGACAGGATAAATATGGGCAGCAGAAAAGAAATGGAAGGAGTAAGAAGGCAGAGCGATATGTTAAATCAGCTTGCAAGTTTTCAAATGCAGGCAGAAAAGTATGGATTCGATATTGACTGGGGAGGTTTTTTTCTTAAGATTCCACCTCCAGAATTCTCAGTGTTTAATATTGCAATCATTTTTTTTTGTCACGACAACATGTCTTTTACCATTTCCAGGATTTTTTTTTTTAAATAGAAGACAAAAGAAAAAAAAAAAAACAAAAAACGATTGCCAATTAACTTACTACAGCTGGAATACTGATTGGTATGGCCGTGGGATGAATTTCAAGTTCTTGTTAGGTTCACTGCATCTTGAAAATGGGGAATCTTTTCACAAGCCCTGTTATTGTGAAAGGTGGCTCCACAAAAAGCCACACTTCTTCTCATCTGACAGAAGAACTGCAGGATCTTGGCAACAGTAGTTCAGACATGAGAAAGGCAGGGAGTTAGCTTCCCTGGGTACTCTCAATGTGGGAATGAAATGACACTGTTGGCTAAGCTGCCAGGAATTTGGCTGAATCTCCTAAGTTAAATTACCTGGTAAACTTCAGCCTCTGACCAAGAAATCTTTAAATCTCATTATTTTTATAAATCATTTTTCAGGTTTATAATTTGTTTTTATAAGGCCTTCATTATTATCTTGTATTTATAGATGTTTTTCTTTTCATATGATATATAGCTTGGCACACAGAAAGAGTCTATAATACTTGAATGAAGATTGCCACCTCTCTTCCCCTTGCCCCGCCATACAGATATGCTCATCTCTAGCCCCCTCAAATACATATACACACACACACACACACAAACATACACCCCAATGTAGTGAAGCATGTTATTCACAGTTGTGGCAATGTAGCTTATAGAAGGAAGGAAGCTCTAATCTTCAGGTGTCTTGACCATGAAAAAAAAAAATGTGTACTGTTTGCAAATGCCATGTACAGACAAACCAACCAACCAACCAACCATGAGTGGTTTCCCATTGCCTACAAAATAAAGTCCTAAGATCTTAGCCCTGCGTTCAAATCCTTCTACAATGTGACCTTCACCTGCCTTTGTAACCACATCTCCCACAAATCTTCTACCATATATGTAAGCTATACCAAGGGCTGCAGGGCAACAATACCTTTACTTTTGTTCTGTACTTCCCCTGTTTTGAATGCCCTCTACTCCTTTACTGGCTCATCTATGTGCCTCCTTCTAGCACAGCTCAACTCATTTCAGTCATCCTAGTTTAGTAGTCCCAATCCACAGAAATCTTTCCTGTCTCTGTAGGACTTACAGTTTGAATCACTCATCTTATACATACAATCTTATATTGTTACTTTCTTTTTATGTTTATCTCTTGTTTCTCCAATTAAATTATGAATACCCTATAGCTGGAACCCATGCCTTGTGCTAAACCCTAACATATTACTCGGTAATTTTATACAAGATAAATATAAAGACTGGATCTCTTATTTTCAAATGTGTATCTTATTTTTTAATCAAAAACTTACTTATAAACCTCCAGATGAGATGTAGGGTAAAGTGGAGTGAGAATGCCTGGGTTTGGATCTCCAGTTCTGCATTTACCTTGGGTATATTACAGAATCTCTAAGTTTCTCAGCTGAGAAAATGTATATAAACCACAATTTCTGAGATGACAAAATAGAGTAAATAATAATGTAAATTGATTATAAATCAATGTACATATTTACAAATATTTTTAAATAAAAAAGTATCAGAAATATCCAATATCATCATTAAGGTATTATTTTTAAAACAGTATGTTGTCAACGAAAGACCAAATTAATATTCATTTAGGCTATCTTCTATATCTTCTCACAGACAAAAAAAAAAAGTAAGATAAATACTAGTTTTCCTATTCAAAATATTCCAATTGTCACAGAACCACCATCTATTATGAACACAGAGTACTCAGTCTACTATGACTGCTTTTGGCTGTTTTATTTATTTATTCATTTCACAAGTGTTTATAAAATATTTAGAATAAATAAGTCCTTGTTTCATTTCAAAAGATATAAAATATTAAGAGAAAAAAGCACAAAACGCAAACCTTAAAATACAACCCTAAATGAGTCTGAAACTTCAAAACACATATTCCTTCTTTCCCAAGAGAAAACAACCAACCAATGCCTCAGGCTACCTTGTGCCTCTGTAGTATGTCTTACTGACAAGTATAAAGATAATCAAGAAAAGAGGCTGAGATAAGGTCTAGCACACCATACTTCAATAGGCAGTATCTCAAAGTTACCTATCTTGAGGTAGTAAATTTCTAATCTGACCAAACAAGCAAACATTATTTTTCCATGCCATTTATCAAATGCCCATTTTCAATTCTGTAAATCAGTTGCTACTCAGTTTTCACAACCTAACCTGAATAACTGACGACCATCTTACAAGACAGGTCAATGGTGTAATCTATTAATTACCAATCACCAAATAAACTGATTATTAACATAGCACCAAACACTTAAGAATGTATGTGTCTGCATCTGTTTACATAACTTTCCCAAATGTCAGCCTCCTCTCTTAGCCAGTACAGCTATAAGTCAGACTTAATGACAAATACCTGCTGACACTGGGGTAACTCAGGAGGTCATCTTTGGAAATCTAATACTCTCAATGTCAGAGGCAGAGTGGGCTATTAAGGATAAACCACAGACCCCAGAAGTATCTGCAGCATAAAAAAGAGTAAGTTGATTATATTAGATATTTATTGTTCTACGCCTACAAAACATTTCAATGTTTAATTTTTTTTTTTTTTTTTTTTTTTTGAGACGGAGTCTCGTTCTGTCGCCCAGGCTGGAGTGCAGTGGCACGATCTCAGCTCACTGCAACCTCCACCTCCCGGGTTCAAGCCATTCTCCTGCCTCAGCCTCCTGAGTAGTTGGGATTACAGGCACTCGCCACCACACCCAGCTAATTTTTGTATTTTTAGTAGAGACGGGGTTTCACCATGTTAGCCAGGATGGTCTTGATCTGCTGACGTCGTGATCCACCCGCCTCAGCCTCCCAAAGTGCTGGAGTGAGCCACTGCACCTGGCCTCAATGTTTAATTTGTTAAAATTGTTTCTTAAAACTTTACTACCAAAGGAATTCAGTTCTTCAGACCTTAAGAATTCATTTATTCCTCCACTCATTCAACCAATATTTATTGAGTGTTTTATGAACTATTCTATGCAGAGGCAAATATTAAGGTAAATTTCAGAGGCATTCCTTGAAAACTCTGGAACTCTGGCACTATCCAGAAGACACTACAAGCATGCATTCAAAAAGTTTATAATTAAGTAGGACAGAAAGACACAACTATTTGTAAGGAAGCCATAAGCCACACAAGCAATTAAAAAGGAACTAATTTAATAGTCCAAAGGTAGGCATAGATTTCCAGCTGTTTACTACATTTCCCAAATTAATCTGTGAAGCTTCGATTTTTCTTTTCCATTGTCAAATATCTATTATAATTTTATTTCTTACATTGCTTTTCTTCTTATATAGATGCTTTTTTTGAAAGCATAATCCTTACAATCAGGTGGCCCTGAAGTACATTTTCCAAAAGAGAAAATTAAAGGGCTAGCTCACGCTGAGCAAACTGATTTAAGAAAAGCCTGGCTTTAAAATTAGGTTTTCAGGATGTTTCAGAACGAACTCAAACAGCAAATCTGAATTGAAACTATACAACCACCTTTTTGGGTAGAACTTTTGGGTAGCCCTCAAGCATCCTTAGATTTCATCAAACTTGCAATAATTTATCTAATATTTATAAGCTCCATGAAGGCAGGGACTTAGTTTGTCTTATCCACTGATAGATCAAGACAGACTAGAATGGTGTGTAACACTAAGTAATTTCTCAATAAATATTCAATGATTGCTATAAATTCTTAAATACTAATGGAACCTAATAATAAATAACTTACAAGTTATTTTGCATCTGTGTGAAATACCATATTATTGATTATTTATGCCTGCTGGTGCCAGTTCCAGTTAACATTAAGAAAAGAAAAACATTAGTGGGGAAAAGCAATTTGTGAAAGAACAACATTAAGCCTTCAATTTATATCATTTTGCAGTTAAAAATAACAAACCTCTGAGAGCACTTTAAATGGTTAATAAGTTCTCAGAAAACAAAACTACAATTTCTCAGCTTTCAACAGCTACCTATGTCATGAAATGTTTGGAGCCAACACAAAGCTTCATTGTTTTCATAGGTTCACTTCTGTCAACCTAAGACATTTGCTAGTGATTTCTTCACAGAGATGTCTAAGGATTTTTGAAATTTTCATTGCTTTTTATTTTACTCAACTGTTAATCAAATCTAGACTTTTTACAAAGCTTAGAGAGGCTTTCATTGAACTAGGATAAATTTAAAAATTAGACAAAATAAATAAAATATAAAACCTTTGTAAAAGAAATGGTAGAGGGAATCTTTCAGGTTATTTTTTGAAAATAATATATTACCAGCATATTACCTGCAGTGACTCTACATTACCTGGTTAGAACTAGGACAAGATCACTAGCTTGACTAGTAAGTCAAAATCAAAATCTGATAAAATTGGCAGACTAAATTATTGGCATGATTATCTGGTGAATTTGGTGGATAAGGAACAGTAATATATACCACAAACTCTCTCTCTCTGATCACTAACAGGGGTAGGAAGAAGAACTTAACAGAATTTGACAATGATAAACCTTTCCACTTCATTTTGCCAATGCATGCTTAATCTCAGAAAACTCTGGAATAATTTTGATACATTAGGAAAAAACATTCTATTTGCACTTCTTTAAACTCCTTTACAACAAGGTTGGTGCCTCTGTGATATAATTTGGCCAGTTTGTAGTTGTTCTATGAAAAGGAAACTAGAAGGCTAAATTTCGGAGGCATTCCTTGAAAACTGTGAAATGATTTTCAAAAAAGAGATTTCCGGATTTGCAACACTAGACATGTCCTAACTAGCTTTAAAACCGAATGGGATTAGGCAACACTTTCATTTAGAAGGAATAAGAAAAAATCTATACCAAATGGTCAAATAACTAAGAAAATGTTTATACTGAATTAATAAAATACTTTAGAAGAATTCCAAACTTGAGTCTGTTAGTCATTGTCTCGATAACTATGGGCAGGTCACATAACAATTCTGTAAAGGTTTATTTTTAAATCCATAAAATTAGGTGGGGAAAAATTAGACTACATGGTTACTTCTGGTATAAAAAAATCCCTGATTCTGTAACTTACCTTATTATGCTTTTTAAAAATGATTATATTATCCAGATTTGGTAAGATAGACTAATGCACTTTCAGACCATTTTGAAGCACTTTTAAGTTAGTATTGGGTCAAAAAGTATTGCCCAAATTAGAAAGTTTTACTTAAGAATTTTCATTTCCAAACATCCACATGTTTTCTTTATGTTGTACCACTTCATGTTACTTATGATTTTTCAAAATTTTCAACAAAAATCTCGTAAGGTTTTTATTTTTTAAATGACTAATTTGTATATCCTTTGGTTATTTATACTCAAAATCAGACAATTAAAAGCTAAAGTTACTTTGAGCATCAATTTGACAAGAATAGTAACTGGTCAATTTATCATGGTTTATTATAAATGTATTTTTTAATGAAATCTTGTATTTATGAAGACTGTTTAGCTATCTTCAAATTACAGTTAGCAATGATTATTAGCAATGTGTGAACTCCTTATTATGAGCATGCTGTCTCAGTAATGTGTTCAGGTCAAAGCTTTCTTAATGTTACCGTCCACAAAACTTGTCACGCCCCAAAGATGGAATCAGTCTTGATGCCTTTCAAAACTTCATCTTGAAAATCTAATCAGTACCACATAAACAGTTCTTAGATCTGTCTAATAATTATCCGCATCTCCAATACTTCCACAGTTTCTTACTTAGATTACTGCTATAGTTTATACATGGCCAAGCAGATAAAATTAATTCTCATTAAAACATCTAGGAGAATTTTTCTAAAAATGCAAGTCTGATCAAGTCAGATCCTTTTCTATTGCCTTCAAGACAAAAATAAAACTCCCTAAAGTATTTTTTAAAATGTCATTCTTTTCCTGGTCAGCTTACTTCTACAATTATACTGAATTTTGTTAGATGTACCATTCTCTCACTCTACTCCTGGGTTTGCACATATGATCAATCTTATGCCAGAAAGAGTATTCTGCTCAACTCTTGAGTTGCTCAACTGAGAGTTGAGTTGGTGAGAGTAGTAACTCTCACCAACCCTTGTCTCAATGAAGATATCACTTCTGTCAGGAGGGCTTCGCTATTCCAAAGTCTCCTCTGTGCCCACACAGCTTAGCACCTTTCTCTACTGTTATTACTGCAGTATAAAGAAGTGGTAAAGGTCACTGACTAGGAAGAATAATTAATCAAGAAAAATGAAAAATGTTTTGAGTTCTCTTACTGGAGTTGAATATTATTGTAAAGTCAGTACACAAAGCAATCATAATTAATCAAAACTACCTTTGAAAGTTTCTGAAATTACCATTATGTAGAGTAATACCTAGTGCTATGCATATAACTCAGTATGGTCTACATGCATAAATATTTAATAAATACCACAGTATACAGTTTCATTAAAAAACTGTATTCAGAGAGAAAATCACTCAAGGTTTTCAATTATCTAAAACATATCATGAATACAGAAAGCTTCAACTTGCTAGTACGATGGCATCATCTTGATCTTCTGTGGATGACATATCAGTTCCTCTGATGCTTCCTTGGTCAGATTTCTTGATAGTTCCCAATTAATTTTTCATTGTTTTCCTTCCTCTAAGACAACAGTCCCCAACCTTTTTGGCACCAGGAACAGGGTTTCATGAAAGACAATTTTTCCATGGACCGGGTGAGGTTGGGGGGATGATTTTGCCACTGATCTGACAGGAGGTGGAGCTCAGGTGGTAATTCATGCTGGCTGACTCCTCACTGACTGCTGTGCGGCCCAGTTCCTAACAGGCCACGAACCAGAACTGGTCTGCTGCTAGGGGATTGAGGACCCCTGCTGTAAGATATGGATGAAGGCATCATCATCTTACTTGGTTGGCTACCTAAATAGTGTTTATGATTTCCTTGTCAATAGCCCCAAATCCTTAGAATTATGCATACTTGTTCATAAGTTTTTTCCAACTGGTATTAACTTCTATCAGGTTTGATTAAAACCACTGTTTGTGGAACTAAATTGGTTAAGCAGAATTGCAGGCAATCAGCAGAACTATTTTAAAATATTTTCTCTTCCCTTTCTAAAATCTGTATTTACCTAGCAAACACAATCAAAGAAGGCAAATACAGTTTAAAAAGGTTAATGTATGTATGTCACTCCACTATGATTCATAAACAGCTAGGAAGTCCACATTTCAACCTCATAAGATATTTTACTCTTGAAACTGGAAGTGGGGACATCAGATCATAGTACGCCTCATAAAGTTATCTATCTTACTATCTCTGAAATTCATAAAATGTGCTTTTGTGCAAAATGCATTTATCTTATAAGTTAAAATGCACAAACTGTTACTTTAAAGGATTGATAATTTTGTAGTATTACCACTTTGTATAAAATGGAAAAAAATGAGAAAAGACTACCTAAATAAGAAACATCTTTCCAATGAGGTAAATGTTTCATGTATGCTCACATTTTTAAATTTATAATTCTTCCATAATAAACTGACATTTAGAAAAATGATTCATCATGTTGCTTGGTACGTATTAGATGCCCCAAAAATTATTGTTTAATAAAAATAGCACCAAAGAAAATACTGAAGATTATATAAGTAGAATATAAAAGACACAAACTTTTTCTAATTAAATGTGGACAAAGTAACAGACTAAAATGTTGCCAGATTTGTTAATCTATAAACATAACTTCTTAAAAAAAGTCTGTAATTTTCATTATAAGGCCAACACTGAATTCAAAGCCTAACACATTTAACTGGAGTCGGCATTTAAAATGTCCCTGTGGAGAATATTCTAGTCTTGTACAAAGGAGTATATTATTTGTAAATAATGGTTACCAGATATCTTAGCCAAGGAATACAGTTACACAAGGGAGGTTAACATAACACAGCTGGAAAAGTAGAAAAGAAGAAAGAAAAAGTGTATTTTTGTTACTGTTCAGACAGATGAATAGATACATAGATAGATATAGAAATCTATATCCATACTGGTATATCAGTTGGAAAATAAAAAATATAAATGCTGTAAGTAAAAGTGAGAAATATTATGCCAAACTTAATAGGAAAAAGGACAATGATAGAAAAAAATTAACTTGCAAGAAACTTCGATAAATAATTTGAGAGATTTTAATCTATAGAAAAACAAGGATGAAAGAAACAGTTACTTTCAAGAATGAGTACTCAATAGACAATAATCTATTTCTTGTAGGTAATGTGATTGTTGCAGAGGGAAGTAGAGGAGATTAAGAGAGAGGTATTAAAAGTACAGATGGAGGGGGGGAGTGAGAAAAGTGGGGGAAAGAGAACAGATCGAGAAATAGATTTTTACTGAAACTTTTCTAAAGTTAATCTGTATTATCTTCCCTGATCAAATAAGATATTTTCAAATGTCTTCCAAACAATTATTTACACTATACATAGTTGCTTTTTAGGTAAATAATAACTTTTAAATACGGATATCAAATGAACATTTTTATTGGAAATCTAAATAAACTGGCACATTTTAACATCTATTAATTTTCAGCCAAAAAATCTTATGCAATTATTCAAAAAGTAATCTTTCTCTAATTTTTCCTTTATTTTATATTTATCATGCATTTATATGACAATAACAATTATATTCCTAGGTTTCTAGTAGCTACATATTTCTCTTTTGTTTATATTTTCAGACAATAAATTATTTAAAAATCTACTAATTGTGGGTAATTATGTTAAACATGATAGGTCCAAAGGTCAATAAGGTCATATAACTCACTTCCTAGACTCCTTTCTCCAAGTCTACACAGCAACAGATTAATTTCAAAATCTCTTGTTTCGGTAATTGTAATAAAGAAAACAGGGTACTCTAATGATTTAAGCGCTGAATAGTTTTTTTTTTTTAACCAAAACACCTGTTGCTTTTTTACAACTTATTTTCATTAAATACAGAAAAATGTTGATTTTGTTACCCGAGGACATCAAAAGCTAAGAAAACAAACTTTCCTTAATAGAACCATTCTCAGAACACTTTTCTCAACACAAGTGATTTTAACATGCTGCTCCTTCTCAGGATGGGGTTTTTACAAAGTGGTTTACATTATTGTTCCAAGCTGGTGTGATTTATCTTTTATATGTTGTAATATATATGCATATTTTACTTCAAAACAGCAGTATTATTAGTATGAAATATATAAAACTGATTTCAGCAAAAACCAATTTCTAAGAAGTTGAATTTAATTCTATGCCAAACTTATGTTTAAGATGTTTTCAATTTCTCAAGAAGAAATTACTGGTTTTCCACATTGGACAACAGTTTGTGCAGGCCTGTGCTTCCTGAAAGAAGAGAAATACAAGAGGTGAGCCCTAGGACCACTCTCTCTTTCTACCTGCTGTACTTTCCAGACCTCAGCACAGGGATGTAGGTGGAGCCCAGGCAGACCACAATGACCTCATTCAACTAAAGAGGCACAAAGTAGAGTTTGGTGCTGTTGAAATAGCTGGAATTTATAAGGCAAAGCTGTGGGAAAGCATTAACTACACAAAAAACGAGCCCCAAAGGAGTTATCATAAGTCATTGGATGCATATTAAGCTGCACATGCACAAAGCAAGGCTGAAGACCTGGCAGAAAACAGCTAACTCAAGAGCCATTAGCTGTGATTTGAACAGAAATCCAGATGTCACATATAGTAAGAGATGTAGAACTTCACTGAAAATGCTAAGCACTCAAGTGACACCCCTAAAAGGTCTAGACCCACCCTAATTGAGCTTACAAAAAAGAAGAAAACAGCAAGCTGACTTTCCAGTAAATTATTTGTCTCCCAGAACAAAACTCAATGATCTTTAAAGAAAGACAACAAAATCCTACAACATAGAAATCAGAACGTCTGGCATATAATAAAAAATTACTGACGTGAAAGAACAGGAAAATGTGACCCATAAAGAAGAAATCATTAATACTTCAAGTACATAATGAGGAGAGTTATATTTCCTTTTCTACTATATATACCATTACATAACAGTACAATCCTTGAAATAATATAAAAATATCTTTTAAATTAGTTACACCACTTCAATTCCAAAACCATTTTTAACTTTGCACATTATATTTGAAAGATATGCTCTAAGAGCCTGCCTTCATCTGCCACATCTCCAATATTACTTCCTCCATTCTCTATTAATTTAAACTTTCTCAGGGACAGGCATGCAGCAGGGATTCTAAGTTTTGCAGAACCCTGAACATCAACTTTCTGCTTGTAATTAGGAATGCCGGGTAGGTCAACAAACCTAACACACACCTTCCTGTTTTGTCCTTCCCTTCTCCACAACATTAAAATGTGCTTCCAATTTTCCAATCTCTTGCTTCCTTTATCCAGCTGACACTGGTTTCAGGATCAATAGCCTCCCTTCTGGTATCTTTTTCCTAGCTCTCATTCTCACTAAACTGATCCACAATCCTTTCCAAGGTAACCGCATGCTGTAGAGTGCCTCTTCTGTTGGTAAGAAATTTCTTTTAAAAGACTGAATTGTGTTCCCCCAAGATTCTTAAGTCCTAAATCTCCAGCACACCTAAGAATATGACTGTCTTTGGAAAAAAGTCCTTAAAATAGGTAGATAATGTTAAGCGAGGTCAAGGAGGTGGGCCCTAGCCCAGTGAGTCTGATGTCTTTATTATAAGAGCAAGAAACACCAGGGAAGTGTATGTACAGAGAAGAAGGTAGCCATGTGCCAGTCAAGGAGAGAGGTCTCAGGAGAAACCAAATCTGCCAACATCTTCATCTTCCACTTCCAGTCTCCAGAAATGTGAGAAAATAAATTTCTGTTGGTAAGTCCCCAATTTGTAGTATTTTGTTATGGCAGCCCTAGCAAACTCATACACTCCTGAATATATTTTCATCTTTCCTGAAGTGTTCACTCACCTTCTTTATCATTATGAAACTAACTTGATGTCATCACTTCCATTAAAACATTATCCTCATCCCTTGAAGTAATACAAGCATGTAGTCAGAACATTTACCAACTACCGCTACTTCTAGACTATTATTCCAGTCTTTATAGAAAAGTTTAATTTTGAACATAAATGATATGTCGAGAGAGAGAAAAAAACAAGATGAAAGATATCATAATTGAAAATCTAAATAGCAATGTGGTGTTATAGAAATTAGTTTAAGATTTGGTTATATATGATACCTGGTTTTGAATCCTAGTTGCCCTGCTTACCATCTGTGTAATCTTGAGCAAACTACTTAATCTCACTGTGGATAAAAATGGAACCTACCTCATATTTTTGTTGTGAGTAAACTATATCAACAATTGTAAAGCAGTTAGCTTGGCACATTAGTTGTTATACAAGTGCTAGCTATTACAAAGGAAATTGATTTTGGATGGGATTGCTAAGGAAGTAAGTGCAGGAAAAAGGGCCTCGGTGATGGGAGGTTAAAGTAGCAAGTGTTGATTATATATACATTAGAAATTTGGAGTTAAATGAAGGTTACATTCAATAATAATTTTTAAAATAAGAAGAAACTGGGCATAGTGGCGCACACCTGTAGACCAAACAGCTACTTGGGAGGCTGAGGCAGGAGGATCACTTGAGCCCAGGAGTTCAAGGCTGCAGTGAACTATGATCACACCACGACTTTCCAGCCTGGGCAACAAAGTGAGACCCTGTGGCAAAAAAATAATAATAAAATAAAAGGAAAATGAAGTAAGTAGAGCAAGAGATAAATATTTCTTGTTTATTTGTTTTAAAATAAAGGAGAGTTGTGCATGCTTATAATCTCAGAACTTCATATTTACAATCTCATACATTTAGCAAAAGTGAGAAACAGAATAAATATCCATGAAGCAAAACACAGAAAGAAATTAAGGAGATTAAAAGTGTTGAGTACAGGAACAAACAAGGGTAAGTAGTTTCATGCAAGGTTTGTGTCAGCTTACACACACACACACACACACACACACACACACACACAATGTGTATACGAGTGACCCTTGGGCAACATGGATTTGAACTGTGAGGATCCATTTATACGTGAATTTTTTTTTTTTAAATAAAAGTTACACTGAATTTGCCTGCCTCTCCTGCTTCCCCTTCCTTCTCTTCCACTTCTTCCGACTCTGCCACCCTGAGACAGCAAGACCAACCCTTCCGCCTCCTCCTCCTCCTCCTCCTCCTCCTCTTCCTCCTCCTCCCACTCTTCCTCAGCCAACTCAATGGGAATGCCAGGGTAAAGACCTTTTTGAGAATCCACTTCCACTTAATGAATAGTAAATATATTTTCTCTTCCTTATGATTTTCTTAATAACATTTCCTTTTCTCTAGCTTACTTTATTGTAAGAATATATAATAGTATATAGTACATAAAACATAAAATATGTGTTAAATGACTGTTTATGTTATCGGTGAGGCTGTGGTCAACAGTAGGCTATTAGTAAAGATTTGGACAAGTCAAAAATTCTATGTGGTATTCTGATTGTATGGGAAGTGAGCACCTCTAAACTCTGCATTGTACAAGGATCAACTGTACTTGGTTGAAAGATGAAATATATTCTTACTGTGGGTCTCAGTAAAAAGTTTTGAACCTTCTTATCTAGAGTATATGACACTTTTGAAAGGTGGACTTTTTTCCTCAAACGAGAAGAAAAAAAAGATCAGTGAACTGAGAGTAGGGAAGTACTATTTTATTTAACAGAATTAATTCACTTGTATATTATATTCATTACACAAAAAGATAGATTTGTGTAAAATTATGTCGTGCTTCTTGAATTTCAATATAAATCATTAATATGGCTGCAATTAGTTAATAAATGCATTAACTTAAAAATCTTACAACTAAAATCTTTATTTTCTTATTTTATTTACTTCATATTACTGAATTTTTTTTTTTTTTTTTTGACAGAGTCTTACTTTGTTGCCCTGGCTGGAGTGCATTGGCATGATCTGGGCTCACTGCAACCTCCACCACCTGGAGGTTCAAGCAATTCTCATGCCTCAGCCTCCTACTTCAAGTAGCTGGCATTACAGGTGTGTGCCACCACGCCTTGCCAATTTTTGTATTTTTAGTAGAAACAGAGTTTTGCCATGTTCGCCAGGCTGGTCTCAAACTCCTGACCTCAACTGATCCGCCCGTCTCGGCCTCACAAAGTGCTGGGATTTCAGGCATGAGCCACCGCGCCTGGCCCTGAATTTTTAAGTCAGTGAATGAATCACTTTTACAAAGTGCAGTGGGACATTCGCAAGATGTCAATTAAATATAATCACTGGTTTTTACATACTTGTGAAAATACTTGGGTTACCTTAGAAACCCCTCAAATACAATCTTTCTTCTTCCTCACACTGGTCTTAGTGGGTAAGTTTTAGAACTCCCAATATACCGTGGTACTGGTTTTTCCTGGTGATCTCACTCACTTTCACCATTTCAGCTATCTTGTACACACAAGAATACAGAACCTACCTTTGTGTGTTTTGTAACTCTGGATACAGAGTTCCAAGTGTTTCCTGGACATTTTTTTGTGTGGCCCCAAAGTAAGAGTTCAATATGTAAGCATTTTACATCATTAGTTTTGATTACTATCTTTACTATCTACCTATTAGTTTAAGCTAGAAACCTAAAAGTCAGAATGCCTCCAATTGTAATAATTAGCAAATAATTAAGTTCTGTCAATTCTATCTCCACATAGTTCTCAGCTCTCCCCTCTCTCTATTTCTGAGGATACTGTTTTAGTTCAGGTCATCGCTTCTCTCTTGTTTTGATCCAATACCCCTTGTGTCTTCTTTCTCTAGACATCCTCCACACTCCAGTCAGAGTTATCTTTCTAAAATGTCAATTTAATACTCTGAGGCTTTCTATCCAGCTCATTTCTCACCACTCTGCCACATAAACTCTGAGTCAGTCACACAGCCTCTCCCCCTTCCTTGAATATGTCCTATATTTTTACATTCATTCATTCATTTATTTATTGAGTCGGGGTCTCACTCTGTCACACAGCCCGAAGTGGAGTGGCAAGATCATGGCTCACTGCAGCCTTGAACTCCTGGGCTCAAGTGATCCTCCTGCCTTAGCCTCCTGAGTAGCTGGTACTACAGGTGCATGCTACCACATTCAGGTAAAGTGTTTTTGTTTTTGTTTTTTTTTCCTCTGTAGAGCCAGGGTCTCACTATGTTGTCCAGGCTGGTCTTGAACTCCTGGCCTCAATCAATCCTCCTTCCTCAGCCTCCCAAAGTGCTGGGATTATAGGTATGCGTCACCACACCCAACACTATTCTTTTACTTTAAAACAAAAGGAAAAATATTTTTTTTTTTTTTGAGACAGAGTCTTGCTCTGTCACCCAGGTTGGAGTACAGTGGCCCAATCTCGGCTCACTGCAAGCTCCGCCTCCTGGGTTCACACCATTCCCCTGGCTCAGCCTCCCGAGTAGCTGGGACTACAGGTGCCCGCCACCATGCCCGGCTAATTTTTTGTATTTTTAGTAGAGACGGGGTTTCACCGTGTTAGCCAGGATGGTCTCGATCTCCTGATCTCGTGATCCACCCGCCTCGGCCTCCCAAAGTGCTGGGATTACAGGCGTGAGCCACTGCGCCCAGCCAGAAAAATATCTTCATGCCTTTGCATATGTTATTCTCTCTACCTGGAATGTCCTGTGCTGCCCTCTTGACCTGCTCACTGTAGCTCTCTTGCTCACTCCTTAATATATAGTTGTAGCATAATCTTCTCTGTAAATCACAGACGGAGAGTCATTTCTTCCTCTTTTTCTTCACTGCACTTTCTATGAAGCAGTTAAACATTCATTCATTAATCACTTATACATTTAACATATATTGAGTACCATCTATGACAAAGTACCATGTTAACACTTGCTACTTTGCACTCCAACTAATTGTTTAGATTTTTTCTTTTCCTTAACTAGAGAGTGAACTACTAAAAGGCAGAGACAATATCTTATTCAATGTGGCATTCCTGGAGCCAGACATCAGGCCCAACACCTAACAGGCATTTAACAAATGTTAGAGTAAAAACATTAATTTGATACTTTCTAGTACACTATTTTCTTCTACACTGCAATTACATCTATTCTCCCCAGCAAAATTTAAAATTCTGTGAGAACAGAATCATTAGACATTTAATTATTAATTGCACAGTCTAGTGTGAACAGGAATTAAACATCTTTTCTAAAGAGATACCAGCCTACTTCAGAGCTGCCTGAAACTTATCACTCATTTGTGGTCTTCTAGCAGCTAACTATTTCTTAAAGGAAAAGTTGACATTATTTAGCCTAGTTCTTCACACTTCAAAAAATCTCTTCTTAAAAACTTTTATATTTTTGGTGACAATTATTTAATTTTTTTTTGTTACTGATAAACCCGAAGGCCATTTAGCTAAAAGGACCCAACCTTACTTCTTTTATGAAAAATAAAACGATTCAGAGACAGACCAAACATCATCATCAGAAAAATCTCATATAAATACAGTTCTCCATTTACTTACATATACAAATTATTACTTTGTGTGTCTTAGTAATTATTAGTGTTTATTACTATATATTTTTATCTTATTCTTTAATATTTATTTTTGTCTTATTTAAAATTAGGCTGCAAGCTAGAGAATTCGCTCAGGATAGAGCTTTGTGTGCATTTAATAACATCTACTGACCGAGATAAACATTAAAATAATTAGAATACAGCAGCGTCATCCAAATTTTGGAAACACCCAGGGGTGTGAAGGCTTATTGTTTCTCCCAACAACATTTCTCTGAAGCCTGACAGATCTTTTCCCAAAATCAAAAGCATTCATTAAGGAGGCAAGATCTCATTTTCTGAGGACTGCCACTAGTAGGTAATAAGGTAAATCATACATACATTATCTTGTGACATAGGAGAAATGTTCTAGCTCAGACCAGAGGACTTCGAAACCATCATAAGTTTCCCTTTGATTACATTTCTAGATTATCCTTCCTGATGGGCAGAATTATTGAATACCATAAGGCCTCTCAAAAATCAGATAGAAGAAGCTGGGCATGATAGAGTGCATTTGTAGCAGGGAGGTTTAGGTTGGAGGATCACTGAACCCAGAAGTTTGAGGCAGTACTGGGCTAATTTATGTTATCTTCATAATACTATTACCAATTTCTACTAAGATTAATTCCAAGAATATTTTAAACATATTTAATTACTGGAATGAATACTATCACCATATTTTATTTAAATTTTTTTGAAAATTTAGATAAAATAGTAATATAGGTAGTTTAAAAATTATTTTATTATGGATACATAAGAGTTGTACATATTTATGGGGTACATGTGATATTTATTGTAAAAAAAAGAGCACACAATGTATAATGATCAAATCAGGGTAATAAGGATATCCATGATTTCAAACATTTATCACTTCTTTGTGTGAGAAACATTCCAATTCCACCCTTTTATTTTGAAATATACAGTACATTCCTAACTACAGTTTATCTGTTGTACTACTGAACATTAGATTTTATTTCTCCTATTTAATTGTATTTTTGAACCCCTTAACCCTACCCTATTCCCCTCTTTATCACCCCCTCTACATTATAATTACCAGCCTCTGGTAGCCATCATTCTACTCTCTATTTCTATAAGCTCTTTGATTTGCATTTTTTTTAGCTCCCACATATGAATGAGAACATGCAGTATTTGTCTTTCTGTGCCTGGCTTATTTCACTTAATATAACATCCTCTAGTTCCATTCATGCTGTTGCAAATGACAGGATTTCATTCTTGTTTATGGCTGCATAATATCCTATTGTGTACATGTACCACATTTTCTTTATCCATTCATTCATTGATGGACACTTAGGTTGGATATATGTGTTGGCTATTGTGAACAGTGTTGCAATAAGCATGAGAATAAAGGTATCACTTTGATATACTGATTTATTTTCTTTTAGGTATATACCCAGCAGTGGGCTTGCTGGATTCCAAGGTAGTTCTATTTTAGTTTTTTGAGGAACATCTGTATTGTTCTCTCATAGAGGCTGTACTAATTTACATTCCCACCAAGATTACACAAGGGTTCTCCTTTCTTCACATCCTCACCAGCATCAGTTATTGCCTTTTTGAAAAAAGGCATTTTAACTGGGGTGAGATGATATCTCATTGCAGTTTTGATTTGCATTTCTCTAATGATTAGTGATGATAAGCATCATTCCATATACCTTTGGCCATTTGTATGTCTTATTTTGAGAAATTGCTATTCAGATCTTTTACCTGTTTTTAAAATGGATTTTTTTTTTTTTCACCTATTGAGTTGTTTGAGCTCCTTATATATTCTGGTTATTTGTCCCTTGCTGGGTGATTTGTAAATATTTGATCTCATTTTGTGGGTTGTTCTCTTCACTTTGTTGATTTTTTTTCCTTTGCTGTGCAGAAGCTTTTTAGTTTGATGTGATCCCATTTGTCCATTTTTACTGTGGTTGCCTGTGCTTTTGAGGTCTTATGCAAATAATCTTTGCCCAGACAAATGTCCTGAATCACCCCTTCAATGTTTTCTTCTACTAGTTTCATAGTTTGAGATCTCACATTTAAGTCTTTAATCCATTTTGATTTGATTTTTGTATATGGTGAGATATAGGGTTCTAGTTTCATTTTTCTGCATATAGATATCCAATTTTCCCAGCACCAAAGAGACTGTTCTTTTCCCCATGTATGTTCTTGGTGACCTTTTCAAACATGAGTTCACTGTAAATGCATGGATTTATTTCTGAGGGTTCTCTATTCTGTTCCAGTGGCTTATGTGTCTGTTTTTATGAGACAGTACCATGCTCTTTTGGTTACTACAATTTTGTAGTATAATTTGAAGTAAGGTTATGTGTTGCCTTCAATTTTGTTCTTTTTGCTCAGGATTCCTTTGGCTATGATAGTCTTTTGTGGTTCTACATACATTTTAGGATTATTTTTTCTATTTCTGTGAATATGTCATTGGTATTTTGATAGGGATTGCATTGAATCTGTAGATTGCTTTGGGTCTATGGCCATTTTAACAATATTGATTCTCGCAAGCCATGAACATGGATTATCTTTCCATTTTTTTGTGGACCCTTTAATTTCTTTCATCAATGTTTTATAATTCTCATTGTAGAGATCTTTCACTTCTTTGGTTAGGTCTATTCCTAGCATTTTATTTCATTTGTAGCTACCTTAAATGTAATTCTTTTCATGGTTTCTTTTTTAGATCTTTCACTGTTAACATATAAATATATTACTGATTTTTGCATATTGATTATATATCTTGCAACTTTCCTGAATTTATCAGTTCTAATAGTTTTTTGGTGGAATCTACAAGTTTTTCTAAATATAAAATCATATCTCATGCAAACAAGGCTAATTTAACTTCTTCCTTTCCAAATTTAATGCCCTTAATTTCTTTCCCTTGCCTAATTGCTCTGCCTAGGACTCCCTTGCCAGGAATAAACATTGTGAGTAAAAGTCATAAAAGTGGGCATCCTTTTTTGTTCCAGATCTTAAAGAAAAGACTTTTGTTTTTTTCCCGTTCAGTATGATACCAGCTGTGGGTTTGTCATACATGACCTTTGTCACGTTAAGGTATATTCCTTCTATACCTAGTTTGTTGAGATATTTTTTATTATGAAAATATAATGAATTTTATTAAATGCTTTTTTGGCATCTGTGGAAGTGATTATATGATTTTTGGCCATTTTTGTTGATACAACATACCACATTTATTGATTTGCATATGTTGAAACATCCTTGCATCCCTGAGAACAGTGGTACTTTTTTTTTTCCTTTCTTTCTTTTTTTTTTTTTTTTTTTGAGATAGGGTCTTGATCTGTCACCCAGGCTGGAGTATAGTGGTGCCATCTTGGCTCACTGCAACTTCTGCCTCCTGGGTTCAAGTGATCCTCCCTCCTTAGACTCCCAAGTAGCTGGGACTACAGGTATATGCCACCATGCCCAGCTAATTTTTGTATTTTTTGTAGAGATGGGTTTTCATCATGTTGCCTAGGCTGGTCTCAAACTCCTGGGCTCAAATCATTCACCTGCCTTGGACTTCCAAAATGATCGGATTATAGGTGTGAACCAACCATGCCCAGCCAACAGTGTTACTTTTTACCATTACCAATGCCACTATCAATAAAAATAATAATAATATTAATGCGATAAAAGCTAATGTTTAAGTATGTGATAGATACCATATTAAATTATATGTATATTTAATAATATATATTCTACATCATATACAAATATATCTATTTAAAGAGGATTAACTTAAACCTCTTTAAACCTATAGTCTATTTTATAATTGAGACAACTAAGGCTTAAAATTTTTTTTTAAATGTCAAATTACATACCTTTAGTGAAGTCAGACTCCAAAGCTTGAGATTAATATAGTATAGTCCCCTCAATCCCTTAGCAATATAAACAAGGTAAATCATACATTATCCTGTGACATAGGAGAAATGTTCTATCTCAAGCTGGATGACTTCATAACCAGCATAAGTTTCCTTCTGATTACATTTCTAGATTATCCTCCCTGATAAGCAGAATTATCGAATACTATAGGACCTCTCAAAAATCAGATAGAAGAAGCTGGGCACAATAGAGTACATCTGTGGTAGGGAGGTTAAATGGGAGGATTGTTGAACCCAGGAGTTCGAGGCTGTACTGTGGTATGATTTTACTGTGACCAGCCACTGCACTCCAGCCTGGGCAACATAGTGAGACCTCATGTCTAAAATTAAATAAATGAGTGAGTGAATAAATGAATGAATAAATAAGTAAATAAATAAGAATGCATATTATGAAAAATCAGATGGAAAAAGATAAAGCTTGTGATTTCAGCAGTAAGCCACTTATATAATTCCTTTCAAAATTATTCGGATGGCAATAGGTGGAGGAAAACTTAGGAATATACTTCCATCAGACAGCATTACACATTCACCTCCTGGCACATTGTAGACTTTCCCTGACCTCATTATAAAGCAAAAGGTAGGCCTTAAATGTGCTGGAAAACTGTAAATGTAGAGCTGATAGAATTTTGCAGATTACCTAATTTTCTCCTTAAATTTCACAGATTAAAAAAGTGAGATTTAGAGATGTTCGTATAAAACGCCTGTATTCGTGAGCAAAGGTATTGGTAGAACTAAAACTAAACCCTAGATCTCCATAGTGCTGTAAATAACTGTGCTGTCTATCACTCGGTGATTGTTGTTGATAGCTAGAATTCTTTTTTTTTTTTTTTTTTGAGATGAAGTCTTGCTGTGTCACCCAGGCTGGAGTGCAGTAGTGCGATCTCAAGCTTATTGCAACCTCCACCTCCCAGGTTCAAGCGATTCTTCTGCCTCAGCCTCCTGAGTAGCTAGGACTACAGGTGTGCACCACCATGCCTGGCTAATTGCTTTTTTTTTTTTTTTGCATTTTTAGTAGAGACAGGGTTTCACTATGTTGGCCAGGCTGGTCTTGAACTCCTGATTTCAAATGATCCACCTGCCTTGGCCTCCCAAAGTGTTGGGATTACAGGCATGAGCCACCGTGCCTGGCCTATAATTCTTTTATATATAGAAGTTCTAGAAGAAACGTTTCTGCATAATATATATATATATAAATCCAAGAGAGGATCTGTCCTTTTCTGGAGAAGAATGGGTTCCCCCAATAAGGCAAACAGTAAGGAAACGATCAACATATATTAAACTAAGTCTTCAAAAGTGATATAGTTGATTATTAACATCAGCAACCTCCTCTAGGGTGCCTAAAGATGAGGAAGAATAGAAAAGCTGCTTATTTTCTCTCTGGATTCACTTCCAGAGAAAAGTCAGAATCAAGGGTACTTCCATTTGCCTACTGCACAGCCAGCCACAGAAGATGTGGTTATCCAAGTCAAAGCTGGAGAAATAAGTAGGATTTATATTGACATCAGACATATTAAACTATGAAAGTTTCTTTACAGATTGATCCTTTCTGTGCATCCAGCTGACTTTTAAATGATGACCGCATTACTATTTATTTTCCAGTATGATAATTGACAACTTAGTTTTTGGCTTCAATATTCTTTACATTAACTCTTGTCAGTTCACCCATAAAAAATGGTTAAGATTCATTTAACAACCAAGTCTAGTTATTAATTGAAGGTAAAAGAGCACAAATAACAGAGTGGGTAATTAAATAGCATGGGCTTTTTTGTCAGTCATAAATGGGTTCGAAGTATGGCTGTTCCTCTTGCTAGTTGTGTAACCTTGCACGAATTACTTAACCTTTCTTGAAATGAGAGCCATGAAGGCCTAATATTAATTGTGGTCAAGATGAAATGAGATAAATTATATAAAGCAACTAGCTGCACAGAATCTCAAAATAACAGCATAAAGTCAATGTTAGTTCACTTTCCCATTATTTTTTTTGACCAGAAATTTACAAGATTTAATAGCTTTGCTCTTGAACAAGATTTAATGACAATGATCCAGTCATCCTAATTTAGATATTTTTTTGGAAGAGAGATAGGAGGATATCTAGAAGAATTTGGACAAAATTTCACAGTATTTAGTTCTTCATCACAAACTAAACAAGCAGTTTCAGGTGAAAGTCTCAATGCTCTAATGCCTACTCTTTTACTTGGTCTGAAAACTGCAAGACAGCTATGCTCCTGCTCTTGTAGTTTTTTGGCTTTAAGCAACAGTCTTCCTAAAGACCTTTGTGGAGCAGTCCCAGAAATAATTTTTTATAAATCTTTTATGGAAGTATTAGGGCAATTTGATTTGATGAAAATTGTTGGCTGCTCTTTAAAGTTGTTAAGTATAAAGAACTGTGATGATGGTGGGAAGCAAAAGTGGTTTTATCCTTTTTCTTAAGGGGTTCACAAACAGGCCAGTACACAACTAACTAAAAGGGTGGCTTTGTGGAACTTTACACGATTTATTAGGAATGAAGAAAATTTTTGTAAAAGGTGATTTTGGTGAAGAGGCTAATGTAAAATATTGTGGCTGTTTATCTTTCTGAAAATATTTTATAGAGACACAATTATTTTGCACTCTGGCTTTCAAAATATTGCAGGATATGGTTTCATGGAAAGAGAAGAATAACGAGGGACACAAATTTTCTTGGGGGTAATGTCCAACAAAACAGATTTAAACTAGGCTGACCTGAGATCAAGGGAGTGTATTTTGCAGGGAAGGTCATTAAAAACACCGTATTACACATTATAAAGTCCAATAGCAGAGGGAATTGTGATGCATTTAAACTGTAACAAATGACAAATCCATAGAAATGGATCTCACTGGCAGTTTATAATCAACCACAGTCAATGAATCAGTGAGTAAGGGGCACACCAGCCAAAGAACAGTGAATGAATGGAGTCTTTTTAGGCTAATTTGGATATAACGCAATGTTTAAATAAGTGTTATGAAGGTTGGAGACAAACAACTAGCATAAACCATACTTTATCCTTCTGAAATAGGTAGGAAATTGTGCCAAATTAAAGTAATAACTGATGAGCTTTGTTTAGCAATGTGACAGTGCTAAAATAAACTCTTAGGTAGTCCTGATGTTATGCCAGATAATAACGATAAGAGTCCAAATGTGTCAACATTTTACTAATGGTATTTAAACATGGCAGATAAAATGATTTAAAAAGAATCATTCAACTTAAACTCCATTTACTGTATTTGTCTCAATTATTCAGTTGTACTGCAAAGCATTCATTCACCACTTGATAAACAAACATTAAAAATCCTACTGTGTGCACAGCACTGGGCTTGGTGATGCAGAATTAACGCTAAATAAACTCAACTGCCTTTTAGAACACAGAAAACAAAAATATGAAATATGGGAAACCCAGAAAATGGAATCTAAAAGTTCTCTGGGATCTTTAAATTCCTACTGTAATGAGCAACATTGGTAAGAATAATACTAGTCTGTGTGCTCCATAGGATGCAAATACTTTCACATATATACAGCTTCCAGAATCCCTGCCTGACATATAGGAAAAAGATGAGTATCATTATTCATAATAATAAACAGAAGATTAGACATGAGCTCTCAGCTCACAGTCTAAATCTTTTCCACTAAAATAGGCTATGCTGCCTCTCCTTACAGACATGTATTTTACGTATTTTACTTTCATAATCCTGACACTGAAATCAGAAGTATGACTTCTACCTTCAGTGGGCTGTAATCATTTACGTGAGTTTTAAACAAGCAGGCAGCATAAGACACGAGCAACCCTATGCAAAAAAAAAATGAATTCTTATAAGAGGGTAATTTTTCCTGTTTAGAATTACAAAGAACTAGTAGTTCAAGAGATGTCACATTTTTCTTCTACAAGAGAACATAGATTTAGTTAAAGTTTTTAATTTTTGGCCCCTACATAAACATGAAATGAATAGAGAGATGTTAATAAAGTGCACCATCTTCATTTATGTTTATAAATCAATTCATTTCTTATTCTGAGTTGCCAAGGGACCTAGGTGCCAATCACACTCCTTGTAACATATGCTATAAAAACTTGTTTTTGAATATAAATGCTTTCCAACTGACAGCATGTCTATAGGAAGCTCTCCATGTAACTATCAGATGCTATTTTTGTTTAAGTTGTAAAAAAGCATAAAAGAAAGACTGTCAGTTAAAAAAATTAAATTTTAAAAAGAAATAATTCATTATTTACAATCTCCTTTGTAACAGAAATGATAACTACATAATACTTCACACATATCATGCCATAAAGAAATTATTTACGTGAGTGTGGATTCCAGTGGTGGCAAAGCCTAATTTTCTTTCACTTTGGAAAGCTATGTGATAATATATCAGAGATAGAACGCCTGTGTAGGTTTGCTATGTAGTTGAAAAATCTTGAAAAACAACCTTCAGATTTTTCAAAAGGAAGATCACATTAATTAGTCTTTGAAATTTGTTTCTTAATAAGAAAGGGGCAAAAGTTTATTAGGAGAGGTAAAATTGCTTATTATCTTTTAAATCTCTTGTAACTTGAAACCATTAAAATTGTTATGGTAAAATATATTACCTAACTTCAGAATGCTGCACTTCCAAATCAAACATGCTGCAAATGTTACTATGGAAGAGAATAACCAATAAAAAGAAAAGATAAAATAGACAGAAAAGATAAATGCACAGAGCAATGGAAGGGGGCCTCTATTTCAGTAGACACTGTTTATTGGAGACATAATTTAATATCAACAAAATTAATTCTAGTATAGAAGCACAAATTAAAAAGTAAAATATATCAAATATTGTTTCACACTTTATTTAATTTTCAATAATCTCATGATCTGTTGAAAATAAATTAACTTTCTAATAATGCAAACATTCAACTGTGCAAAATGGTGCATGCAGTATTTAATGAGACTGAAACTGCATATCAACTACCATATTAAAGACCAAACAGTTTAGAATAAACCTGTTTAGTTTTTATTAACTCGGTGTTTTCCAAATGTATTTGGTCATAAAAGTCATCTTTAGCAAAAAAAAAAAAAAAAAAAAAAGTTTAAACATTTTGTCTCCTGGAATAAAGTTTTAATGGAATGAGCATAATTTCTCTGAAGATATTTCTCTAGTTCAAATTTATCTTCCTATTTCTACTCAATTTTAACCTTTTTTTCCCCCCAAAATAAGAACCACTGGAAATGCATTCAGAGCAGGGTGGATAGCATCTTCTTCACAACCCGTCATTGGTCTTTGAGTTAACAATACTAGATACCATCCCTGATCCTCCATCACCACTGTCACTGTTACTGGCTGCAGAAATTTTAATCATCTTAGGATTGCCAAGGCGATATATTAAAGAAAGAGTTCAGGCTGACTGGCATCATGTTAGTTAATGTACCTTGCAGTCATCATAATACCTGCCAGCACAATGCCTGAGAGGATCATGGCATACATCAGTGCCCCAAAACTCAAGTCCAGCTCACACAATTTTTTGTTGTTCATATCACAAACCATTTCCAGTTCCTTGCCAATACCACAAAAACTACCTCCAGTAATAAGTAGTGGAACTTTATATCAAGAGAAGTGGAAAGTCTATAGCGTTTAAATTCTAGAGTTGTTTCTGTTCATTTTATTCGTCTTTTGGTAGGAGTTAGTTATGATGCTAACCCGCATTCAACAAGTCTCCAAATGGAACTGGGTCCTGTTTCTCTGCACCACAGGAACTATAAATATTAGGTTGAAACACATGATAGTGCCAATATTTGGCCATTATTGACACACAGAGATTCTATATTGCAGATACAGGGATCGTAAGGAGCATCACCTCTGATTACTTCTTAATCGAAAAAGGAGACAGTACAATGTTTAAAATAAAAAGGAAAGCGGGATATCACTAAGGGCCTTATGGAAGAAAATGTTGCCAAAACTGGTAAAGTGAGTTTCTACTTGAAATCAGTATCCGGTACACTCTACCTAAGTTTAGAACATAATGGAATAATTGTTTTTTTAGTGAATAAAATTTACCACCAAGGTTTACATGTTGCATGTAACTATCAGATGGTATTTTTGTTTAAGTGCAAATAAAGAAACACAACAATCTTCAAAATAATGTTTAGAGACCTGGGTGACCATTGTAAATGAATAATCATTAATTAATGGCCAACTTTTAAAATCCTAGGTGTGAACTCAAATTTTTCATGAACTGAGCAGTACTGAACTTATAATAGTAATTCTTGAAAATATTCATTCTTTTTCAAGTGTTGGCTTAGAGATCTAAATCTACCTCATTAAAACCTTTACACAAGTGGGACCCTAGAAAGAAACTCTGGAGGCACAAGGACACATGGTTTTTCCTGCAAGTAATTCATAATCTAGATGCCTTATGTAAAAGTAGTATCACAATGTGAAAATTCGATTTGAAATCAAAGTTTAGTCTACCACATACATTCAAAATTTTGAAAAAATGAATTTACTTTATTGTAAAGATTGTTATATGTTATTTATATTGTCACAGGATGAAAACTAAATAAATAACATTTTAATAAATAAAGGAAATGCATAGTTTTAAAATATAGATACCTAGTTTCTTTCCTAAGACATTACTTGGTTAATCAACAATTTTCCAAGCATGACACTGGTACAGAAAATAGAAGTTTTTCAGGGAATTACCCTTGGTTTTACTTTTTTCCAAGTCTAGCCAGAGGACATTCCTCCTCCCCTTAAAGAAAACCATTTTTGTTCATTCTCAGAGAGGACACCTTCATTTGTCTAAGGAAGTCACTGAAGGTACGCTATCCTCCCTACAAGTGATGGTTTCAGGATTATCACAAGTGGGATAATTCTTTACGAATCCCTGAGAAGAAATCTGTATAAACCTATGATGAATATGAGCTTCAAGAATGTCTGCAATGTTACATTTTTTTCTCATGAGAGAAAAAGCCTGAGTAGAACAGAATAGAAAAAGAACTTGAGTGCATGATGACATTATAGAGATAATGAATTATCCAACTATGAAAATCCTTCATGTTCAAACTTGTTATGTGAGATAATAAAATCTTTATTATTACCTATAATTGAGTGTTAGTTACTTGCAGCTGAAATAATACCAACCGGAGAACAAGCTAACAACTACCTTTAGATAACGATCTTGAAAATGGGTTTCATGAAGCAGAGTGTTAACCAGTAAAAATCACGTAGATAATTTCAGACAACTATTTCCTAATTATATCAATAGTTTATTATAGTCCTGTTTAGTATATAACTACAACATGTTCAACACTAGTTTGGGCATTTTTGTATATGTCAAAATGTATAACCAATGCAGTAATGTACTTTCAAGGTATATTACATAATCGTCCATCAGCAAACAATATGAGGCATAGATATAAATTGTATTCATTAATTTAAGTAGTTTAAAAAATTACAGCATTCCTGTTACTTTCAAGACACTGAATGAACTAGGTGCAATGAGGGAATACTACGTTTAAGTATCTGACAACGGAGTGGAGAGAAACATATTTACACAGTAGATAAAAATACATCCCTAACTGATTTACAATATAAAAGGGAAATGGGTAAAGAACAAAAACTAAGAATTTTAATAAATAAAGTATATCACCAGAAAATATTTAGCCTAAAGCACAGAGAACTAAAAGTGAATTGAAATTATGCAAAAGAACATGAGAAAAACTCTAACACAGGGAAAAGTGAAAAACTCTAATACAGGGAAAAGTCTAATATACATGTAATGAAATTCCCAGAAAATGAAAAGACAAAGAGCAGGATAGAATCAATATTTGAAAAAACAATGACCAATACTTTTCTAAAGCTGACAAAAGACACCAAGCCAGAGTAATGTCAGAAACATGGTGGAATAGGAAACTCCTGATTCAAATGCACCGAATAAACATCTGTCTACAGATCAGTTACCTCTGAGAGGAAGTCAGAGACCAACTGAAAGACTTTCAGCCTACTGAGCAACTGAGAAAACATCTACATTTAATGAATAGAAAAAGCTGAGATAAATTCGGGCACAGATCCTATCCCAGGCAGTGTACCATAAAACTGGGAAAGAAATCCCCAACATCCAGCTTCTCCTTTTAGAGAGGAGGGTCTGGATCCCACATAGAGGGCCCTAATCCTAAATTTCCCCATAGTTTGGCTTTAAATTCACCAACTATGGGAGCAGAGGGGAGTAGACCTGTGTATCTAGAAAGACACCTATATGTAATGGAAAAGGCTGTAGTTTTATTTGGGCACACAAGCACTTCCAGGAACTTCAAACCCCTTGGGCCAGTATAGAAAAAGGACTTAAAAAGAAACGTATGATGCTCTCTTTCCACCCTCCCTCCAGCCCCAGAGGGGTTTATGAAACACAACTCGAGGGTCTACCTACTAACCTGGTTTCTGACTAACTTAGTATCAAGGAATTAATGGGAAAGTCAATTAATAAACTGCTGCCAGCCTAGAAAGTGTCTGTACTCACACCAAGCACCGCAGCTCTTACAACATCTACCTAAGGAACTGCATCCTAAATCTCCTAGCTCCAAAAGCAGAGGGAACTAGCACATATATCTCTCTAGACCATAGTAAAAAGAAGCACTTTTAAGTGGGCACACGAGCACCTCCAGGGACTTCATCCCCTGGAGTGGTACAAAGAAGAGGCTTTAAAAAAATGCAGATCCCTGTTTATCCCCCGAAGAGGTTTCGGACACACATTAAAAGCCCCAGTTTTTAGAGCTATCTGCAGAAGGACTCCACCCTAAACCTACTAGCTCTGAGAGCAGAGGCATATAAGAGTCTCCCTTGACCAAAGAAAAAAGAGGTGATTTTTAACAGGCATTCAAACATTTCCAGGGCCTAGACCCACTCAGAGCAGTGCAGAAATGGGGCAGGAACATGCAGCTCTCACTATCTCGTAGCAGAGGCTTAGGCACACATCTCCAGTGGCTAATTGATAGCCTGGTTTCCAATGAACTTACAGTGGGGAATTAACAGGGCAAACAATAATAGCCTTTTGGAAGCTGAAACCAGAGTTCACTTCATGCAACATTCCTCCAGCTCACCCCAGAGATAAATCCAGGCCTATCCTTTTTTTTTTTTTTTTTTTTTCTGGAATAAATTTGGCGATGCACCAAGCTCCACAACCTCCATAGCTCCTACCTAAGGGACTGTCTCCTTAACAACTTAGCCATGAAAGTCAAGGGGGCTTTGTGATCCTAAATAACCGGAGAACACAGAAAACAAGCAGGTGGACATATAATAAGCCCACTTCCAGCAGCTATCCCTTTTGGATCAAAAGGTACAGCATGAACATGAGAATGGGCATTTTCCATAGTTCCTCTCCCTGTCCCAGTACAGAAAAAGTAAAAAGTAAATGCCCACACCCAGCCGCATCATGAAGATAGAAGGAACTAGAACACACATTCAACACCCCAACCATAACAGCTACAACTTAAGAGTCTGGCTCCTATTACATTGGTCTCCAGGTACTGACCAGACAAGGCACATAATAAGCTTCAGGGGCTCACCAAAAACAGCGATAACAGTTTGGACAAACACAAAGATTTGAGAGGAACCTTAAAATCTCTGTCCAAATGGGTTCATGAAAACATTCTCATATATAAGACCAGTCTAACAAGAAGGAGAGAGGTAGTTGTCTTATCAAGTGTGCATAAATCAACACAGATATTCAAGGAGAATGAAGAAACAAGGGAATATATTCCAAACAAATAAACAAGATAAATCTCCAGAAACTAACCTAAATAAAGTAGTGTTTTGTGATTTATCTGACAGGGAATTCAAAATAATGGTTGAAAGATGCTCATAGAAGTGGCAATAGTAATGCAAGAACAAGCTGAGAATTTCAATGAAGAGACAGAAAGTTTTTTTTAAAGTGCCACATGGAAATCATACATCTGAAGAGTGCTATATCTGAATTGAATAATTCCGCAGAGGAATTCAACAATGAAGAGGTGATGAAAACTTTCTCAGAGAAACCAAAGCTGAGAGAGTTTATCACCACGCATTACAAAAAAGGCTAAAGAAGTTCTTCAAGCATAAGAAAGAGGACACTAATTAGTAACTTAAAAACATTTAAAAGTACAAAATTCATTGGTAAAATTAAGTACACTGTCAAATTCAAAACACTCTAATGCTATAGTGCCGCTGGATAAATCAATTATATCTCCAGTATAAAGGTCAAAAGCCAAAACTACTAAGAACAACTAAAACTACAATGATTTGCTAAGGGATGCATATTATAAAAACATATAAAGTGTGACATCAAAAACATAAAACATATAAAGAGGGAGAGCAACAGTGTCGTTTGTGTATGTAATCAAAATTAAGCTGCTACCAGCTTAAAGTAAACTGTTAGAAGTATAAGATGTTTTATGCAAACCTTAGGGTAACCACAAAACAAAAGACTATAATAAATATACAAAAGAGAAACAGAAAAGAATAAAAAGCACTCTACTATAGAAAGCTATCAAAGCACAAAGGAAGAAGGGAACGAATTATCCACAAAAAAAACACTAGAAAATAATAAACAAAATTGCAGAAATAACTCCATACCTATCAATAATAATCTACAATGTAAATAGACTAAATTCTCCAGTTAAAAGAATGGCTAAATGGATTTTAAAAAACGCTATTCACAATAAGCAAAGACTTGGAACCAACCCAAATGTCCATCAATGATAGACTGGATGAAGAAAATGTGGCACATATACACCATAGAATACTATGCAGCCATAAAAAAGGATGAGTTCATGTCCTTTGTAGGGACATGGATGAAGCTGGAAACCATCATTCTCAGCAAACTATCACAAGGACCACAGGAAGGGGAACATCACACACTGGGGCCTGTCATGGGGTGGGGGGAGGGGGGAGGGATAGCATTAGGAGATACAACTAATGTAAATGACGAGTTAATGGGTGCAGCACACCAGCATGGCACATGTATACATATGTAACAAACCTGTACGTTGTACACATGTACCCTAGAACTTAAAGTATAATAAAACAAAAAACAAAAAACAAAACAAAGCAAAAAACAAGACCCAAGTCTACCTACAATAGACTCACTTCATCTGTAAGGTCATACAGACTGAAAGAGGGTTGATGAAAAAAAAAAAATTCCATTCAAATGGTGACCAAAACCAGGAGCAAAGTAGCTATACTTATATCAGATACAATAAACTTTAGGTAAAACAAAACAAAACAAAAAAACTGCAAAAAGCAACAATGGAGGTAATTATATAATGATTAAGAAGTCAATTCAGCAAGAGGATATAACAATTGTTATATCTGCACCCAACACCACAGCACCCAAATATATAGAGCAAATATTAATAGACTGAAAAGGAGATTGAATAGACTCCTTTGAATAGAAAGAAATAGAACTGTATCCTGAAAAGGATAGATGACAATATGATAATAATAGGGAACTTCAAAACCCCACATTCAAAAATAGGCCAAAAACCAAACACAGTAACATCTGAGTTAAACTACATTTTAGACCAAATAGACTTGACATTTACAGAACATTTCACCCAACAGCTGCAGAATACACATTCTTCTCATCAGAACATGGAATATCTTCCAGGATAGATGACACGTTAGACCACAAAACAAGTCTCAACAAATTTTTCAAAAGTAAAATCATCTGCCAGGCACGAAGGCTCACACCTGTAATCCCAGCATTTTGGGAGGCCAAGGCAGGTACATTGCTTGAACTCAGGAACTCAAGACCAGCCTAAGCAACATGGCAAAATCTCATCTCTACAAAAACTACAAAAATTAGCCAGGTGTTGTGGCACACACCTATAGTCCCAGCTACTTGGAAGGCTGAGATGGGAGGATCACTTGAGCCAGGGAAGTCGAGGCTGTGGTGAGCCGTGATCGCACCACTCCACTCAAGCCTGGGTGGTAAAGTGAGACCCTGTCTCAAAACAAAACAAAAAGTACAAAAAAGCAAAAACAAAAACAAAAAAACACAAACATCTAAAATTGTATCAAATATATTTTCTGACCACGATGAAATAAAATTAGAAATTAATAACAGGAAAAACTCTGTGAACTGTACAAATGCATGAAAATTAAACAACATGTTCCTGAATTTGGCCAATAAAGAAATTAAGAAGAAAATGAGGGTTCTCCAGGCTGATGAAAAAGAATTCCACATAAAAACACATATGAACAAAAAGGGATAATGCACAAGGTAAAAGATAAAGATGTGGACAGATATACATAATGCTGACTATCCAAACTACAATAACAATGTTTTATGAGGTCTAAAAATATAAGGCAAATTTAAATACAAGCTAACAATGCAATAATGCACTGAAGTGTTGTTTTAAAAAGTGTGAAAGTGAAAATTTATATTAGACTGTAATAAATCACGGATATGTTGCCATCTGTAGAGTGACCACTAGAACAAAATCATAACAATCTACAAGAAATAATGAAGAAAGTTGGAATAGTTAAAATAAAGAACAAATAGAATCTTAGTAGATCTAACCTAAAATATATAAATTATATAATTAACTTCATGAACTGTAAATGGAATAAATACTCCAATCAAAATACAAAGATTATCAGATTTAAAAAACAACTATATGATGTTGACACAAAGACCGATCTCAGATATATAAAAGATTGAAAGAATAATGGTAAAAAAAATTAAAAGATAAACCATGTAAACACCAAAGAAAAGAAAGTTGGGGTAGTTATACTACTATCAGATAAAGAAGATGTTAAGGAAAGAAGCATTACGAAAGATAACGAGAGATATTTCATAACTATAAAAAAGTCAATTCACCAATAAGCTATAACAATTCTAAATTTATATCCACTAAATAAAACATTAATAGTATATAAGGCTACATTTAAAACTAAATCTATTATTTTAATGTCTAAATGGACATTTAATATTATTAATATTAAATGTAGTATTTATTAAATAAATACTTAATAACCTTTTAACACAAGCCCTTTAATCTAGGACTGAGCATAAATCACTGTTCTCCTGCTTTATTTGCTCTGCCATCAAATTGTAACAGAACCACCAAAAAAGCACCTTCTCTTCTTCCATTAAGATGAGAAAGAAATAATATATTTCACCTCTTTTAAGGAGCTCTAAATTATTTTATTAAAATGAAGGCATGGAATATAATTGAATTTAAAATACAAAGCCACACTCAACTACAGGATTTTAATAAATTAGAGTGTTCTATTTCAAAAAACATAAAGAACTTTAGGATAGGAGGGCTCTCACAGATGAGCTCTGTAATCAGACTGCTTGGGTTAGAACTCTAACTCTACAAATTACTAGACAGCTTACCCTTAGGAAGTTCTCTAACCTTTATGTGCATCAGTTCTTTCAGTTGTAATGGGTGATAATAATAGTATATACCTCATAGAATTGTTAAGTTAAATGAAATAGTGCTTAAATAATTTAGGTGTCTAAATTAATGAGTCTGTAGCAGTTGTGGTAGTGATGCCATAATAAAAAATAACAGTAATTCAAAAAGTAGAAGTAGTAGTGAATAGTAGTAACAATAATTGTTAGTAGGAGAATTAGAATACTAGTACAGCAGCAGTACTCATTATCATCAGTATCATTATCTTCCTCCAAGGGTCACAAATACTTCTAGAAGTTATGCAAGTGATAAGAATAAACAATGTGAGCCAGATCTAAGACAATAAGGAGGGTTGCAGATTACAGAAAATCAGGAAACCAATGCCCTGTTTAAATGCATTTGTATCAATTATTTAAAACACTGATGTCACCGAAAAAGAAAGAAAATATGTAGCTTAGTTCGCAGAAAGGATCAACAATTTACAACTTCTGATTTTGTCCAAATTATTCATTTAAATTAAAAGATAATATAGCTCGAAAAGCAATGTGACCATCAGTACCTAAGATCTTTTTTATTTTGTCACTCCCCAAATTATATCCTTTCTCTCTCTCCTCAAAAAATCCTGGGTGTTAACTAGGTTTACTATTTCTCAGCATTCCTGAGTTTTACCACAAGGCTTGAATTTGCCACTAAGGGTCTCACATTGAGCTTTTCTTCTGGCCACCATACTTGTAACTGTTCTGTTTCACCACACCATGCATTCAGAATCTGCTTAGAGAGCCTGCTGATATCCATCCTTCACACATCCCCAGGCCCTCAGAGTTAAGTCGTGGCAAGTATCATGTTAGTGCTGATGCGCTGGCAACATTCCAGAACCTCATCATTGGTAACCTTGTCTATCCTTTTGATCTTAAATATGGCTTACAGGCGATGCTGATGAATTGGCTCAGGGGACCAGATGTGCTGTTTGTGGTAGAGATTCCAGTCACAATCCCAGAAAGACAAGAATCCTACATATTATATTATAGACATTTAACTGATTTAGAAATTGTTGCTGCATTCACATCACCTTTTGTCTGAACTCAGTCATGGTTTGCTGTTTAACAGGGACAATGAACACGTCTAGCTTCACGTTCCTGGGACAAACAAATAAATGATCCACGCATTCTTAAGTCAGTTTTACTATAATTAATCAAAAAAATTGATTAATTGTAGTAAAGTACAATACCTTTTGCCTTTCTTAGGTAAAAATACTCAATTATACCCACAATCCTAGTCATACATGGGTCGTTAGATCTCATGACCTAAAGACCCTCATATTAAGTGCTCCATAAAGACTTGTTAGTACAATTTGATTTCCTCTTCAAAGTAATATAAATCTATTCTAGAACCACAAAATCAGCATGAGATAAAACTTGAGAACCTCAAGATGACTATGTTGAATATATATATTTCATATAAAATTTTAAATTTCCTATTTAGCCACATTTAAAAAGGAAAAAGAAAAAGAATATGTTGATATTAATACGTGTTTAACTAAATATACTCAAAATACAATTTCAACGTATAATATAAACATTTATTAATGAGACATACTACATTCCTTTTTTCATACTTAGTCATAGCAGGTTTTCGAAATCCAGTGTGTAGTATACATTTACAGCACATCTCAATTTGGACTAGCCACATTTCTATCTTCAATGGCCTCATGTAGCTAGTGGCAACCTTACTGAACACTGCAGCTCTAAACAAACCTCCAATCTAATGCACAGACAGACAGTGATTTAGCTATCTGTTTGAATGCTGTTACTTTCTCTTCTTATCTCATCATCTCGTCTATTGTAGACTTCAGTTCCCTTTTAACAAGTCTTACTCCATTCTTTCTAGTTTAAATATCAGTCTCTTAGATCAATGGTTTGGAATCATTTTTGGAATATGGTCCCTTTTGAAAACAGCAACCCAGCCAACATCTTGATTTGGATCCTTGCTTCAGAAAGATATAGACCTATTGGCATTGTTATGGGTGGAAATCCCCCTCACCCCCCAACACACCCAAAAAAAGATATTTTGCAGTCTGAACTCCCAGGACCTAAGAATGCAACCTTATTTGGATGTAGGGTATTTACAGAGGTAATAAAGTTAAAATGAGGTCATTAGGGTGAGCCCTAATCCAATATGACTGGTACCCTTATAAAAAGGGTAATTTGAACAGAGATAGGTATAGAAGGAAGAAAATTTGATGTAACAGGGAGAAGCTGGTTGCCTATAAGCCAAGGAGAGAGGCCTGGTTAATAAATCATTCCCTCAAAGCCCTCAGAAGAAATTAACCCTGCCAACATCTCAATTTCAGGATCCTAGCCTCCAGAATGTGAGTAAATATATTTCTGTTGTTCAAGTCACTCAGTTATGTACTTTGTTACAGCAGCAGCCCTGGCAAACTAACATATTCATATAGATATACAAATAGATATATAGACAGATAAACATAGAAAATTTTACACATAAATCCAAAGAGTTCAGATATCCTTTCACTAAACACTTCTTAAAAACCACAAGTTAAGAACTCAACTTGAGGCAAAATAAACCAAATTAAGTAGCATTTGTGTATTGTTTCTGTCATCTATTAACATTAGTTATGCCAACAGACATTTGTGCTAAGATAAGTAAATTCTCAGAGTAGTCTGAGATCTGAGAATGTTTTTACCATTTACAACAATGGTAAAAAAACAAAACAAAACATCGTTTTTTAACCATTTTCAGAATTCCTCCAAGTTTTTGCATGTTTGAGGTTTAATATTATTCTTATGATTTTATGCTACATTTTAAAACTGTATCCTCAAATATATGATCCTCTCCTCATATTTAGTACATGTCCTCTTAAAACAGACATACAAACACTGTCCTAGGAAATACCTGTTTTCTTTAGATACCTTCCCTTTTCTCACCTCATTCATATGAAAGTCGAAACCATCTAACACAGGATTTCTCACATAGGTTGCAGGGAACACTAATATCCACTGAAAAAAGTTCATAAAGTTTTATGAGTTTGAGAAATGTTGCAGAGTATGTACCATCTTTATCACCATGCATATTAATTAGCATATTAAAGACTGAGAAGTTGTGGGGTGGGGGGAGGGGGGAGGGATAGCATTAGTAGATCTACCTAATGTAAATGATGAGTTAATGGGTGCAGCACACCAACATGGCACATGTATACATATGTAACAAACCTGCACGTTGTGCACATGTACCCTAGAACTTAAAATCTAATAAATATATATATATATATAAAAAAGGTAAAGACTGAGAAGTTCAAGAAACTAAATGTTTAAGTTAAATAAGCGACCACATACTTTTTCTCATATATATTTTGCCCACTGAAACAGCTTATAGATGACACAAGTTAATGTCAAATTGCTATACTTTATGCAATCCTGGTCACAGATACTTGGAGCAAAACAGCAAAAATGCAACCAAGTAGCAGGCTGGCTAGCAGTCTTATGGGTGGCAGAACAAGTGTTATACCTACAAGATGTTCTATTCTCATTGAAGACACCCTTAAGCCACTTCCCTTGGGATTTGAATGTAAGAATTAGAGAGAAAGGGCAGGAGGGAAGGCAGACACCAACAAAAATACACTGAGAGAGAAGGCATTCATTGAAGTTGAGTATAGTAAAAACTTCAGGTAAGAGTTACACAGGCTACAGAATTCTGCTGACATCTGCATCCTTGTGCTGAGGTTCAGCTCTACTTCATTCTTCAATAGCTCCAGTGATTTATGAAAATATTAGGGATTTATCAAAGCAATAAGAACAGAAAATAATACTAATAAGAATAGAAAAACAAGAAGTATACTTGTATTTCATTACCCTCCGGATTAATTTACTCTTGAATGAAACTTGCACTTTTGAACTCTGGCTTTCTTGACCTAGGATGTACAAGAATTTTTCTGAACAGCTCAAATTATCGCAATGGTTTTTTTTTTTTTTTTTTTGAGACGGAGTCTTGCTCTGCGCTGCCCCGGCTAGAGTGCAGTGGAGTGATCTTGGCTCACTGCAACCTCTGCCTCCCAGGTTTGAGCAATTCTCCTGACTCAGCTTCCCAAGTAGCTGGGACTACAGGCATACGCCACCATGCCTGGCTAATTTTTTGTGTGTTTTTAGTAGAGACGGGGTTTCACCATGTTGGCCAGGCTGGTCTTGAACTCCTGGCCTCAGGTGATCTGCCCGCCTTGTCCTCCCAATGCACTGGAATTACAGGTGTGAGCTACCCGACCTCACAATTGGTTTTTGGGGTGTGTGTGTGTGTGTTTTGAAATATCTCAAGATGATCAAATGCTTATTTTTTTTTTTAGAAAGAAACTCTTAGAAAGTTTTTATTAATGAACAATTGATACACCATAACATTCACCCAGTATAAGTGTACAATTCAATGATTTTAGCAATTTATACTTGTACAACGATCACCTCAATCAGTTTTAGGACAGTTCCATCATGTCCAAAAATTCTCTTGGGCTCATTTGAATTAATCATCATTTCCACTCCAAGCTTTAGCAAACATTTAATCGGTTTTCAGTACCTATATATATTCCCTTTTTCTTGATATTAGATATAAATAGGATCATACAATAAACAACCTTTGCATCTGGTTCCCTTTGCTTTAGCATAATTTTTTTGAGGCTCATCCACAATAAGTATCTATCAGTAGTTTACTCCTTTATATTGCCAAATAATACTTTATTGTATGGATAGACCACATTTTATTTAACGTTTCACCAGAAGATGAACATTCAGAATTTTCCAGTTTGGAGTTATTATTACTAATGCTCTGATGAACAGTCAAGTATATGTCTTTATGAGGACGTATGTTCTTATTTCTCTTCAGTAAAGACTTAGAAGTAGAATAGCTAGGTTATAGGGTAAGTATGTATTTTACTTTTTGAGGAACTGCCAAACAGTTTTCTAAAGTGGTTGTAACATTTTACATTCCCACCAGAAATGTATGAGGATTCAAGTTTTGCCACATCCTTTCCTACACATTATTTTCTAACTTTTAGATTATATCCATTCAGGTAGGTGTGTAGTGGTATCTGATTTTAACTGTAATTTGTATTATCTAATGATTAAATGATGTTAAGCATCTGTTCATGTGATTATTAACAATTCTTATATCTTCTTCAATGAAATGCCTATTCAAGTCTTTTGCAAATTTTTTGACCCAGTTGTTTATTTTCTTATTATTGAGTTGTAAATATTCTTTATATATGCTAGAAACAAATCCCTTATCAGATATGTGATTTGCAAATATTTTCTCCCAATTCATGGCATGTGTTTTCATGTTCTTAATGATACCTTTTTGAAGTGCAGAATTTTTTTTATTTTGACGAAATCCAATTTATCAATTTTTTCATTTATGTATTGTGCTTTTGATATTATAGTTGAGAACTCTTTGCCTAAAACTAAGTTCACAGAGATTTTCTGTTTTCTTTAATAGGTTTAGCTATTATATATAGGCCTATGATCCATTTTGAGTTAATTTTTGTGTTTCATATGAGGTAAACACCTGTGTAACTGTTTTTCAAGTCGATACCCAATTGTCCAAGCACTGTTTGTCTAAAAGACTATCCTTTCCCCACTAAATTGTCTTCGCAGCTGTGCTGAGGACCAATTGACCGTAAACATGAAGGCTTACTTCTACAGTCTCAATTCTAGATTCTCATTTTATCAGTGAGACTATGTCTGATATAATGACTATCTTTATAATAATAATATTACATCATCTTGGTTATTATATCTTTGTAGTAACTTTTGAAATCAGAAAGAGTTCTCCAATTATTTCTTGTTTTCCAAGATTGTTTTGTCTACTCTTGCTTGCTTGAAATTCTATATAAGTTTTAGGATCATTCTGTCAATTTTTGCTAAAAAACCAGCTGGGATTTTGATAGGCATCTCACTGAATCTATGTACCAATTTGAAAGTATTTATCTTAACAATATTAATTTTTTTGTTTTTTTTGAGACAGGGTCTCGCTCTGTCACCCAGGCTGGACTGCAGTGGTGTGATCTTGGCTCACCGTAACCTCTGCCTCCCAGGCTCAAGCAATCCTCCTGTCTCAGCCTCCCAACTAGCTGGGACTATAGGCATGCTCCACTATGCCTGGCTAAGTTTTTTTGTATTTTTTGTAGAGATGGAGTTTTGCCATATTGCCCAGGTTGGTCTCAAACTGCTGAGCTCAAATGATCTGCCCGCATCAGCTTCCCAAAGTGCTAGGATTACAGGTGTAGGCCATTACACCCGGCCAACAATACTAAATTTCTAATCTATAAATATAAGATGTTTTCCCATTTACTTAAGTCTTCTTTAATTTCTCTCAACAATGTTGCATAGTTCTCAGTGTAGGAGTCTTGAATTTCTTTTGTTAGACTTATTTCTAGGTATTTTTTGATGCTATTGTGAAGGCAATTCTTTTCCTTAATTTCTTTATTCTGTATTTTTATTATTATTATTTTTTTTTTTTGAGAAGGAGTCTTGCTCTGTCGCCCAGGCTGGATTGCAGTGGCGCGATCTCGGCTCATTGCAAGCTCTGCCTCCCAAGTTCACGCCATTCTCCCTGCCTCAGCCTCCCGAGTAGCTGGGACTACAGGCGCCCACACGATGCCCGGCTAATTTTTTGTATTTTTTGTTTAGTAGAGATGGGGTTTCACCGTGTTAGCCAGGATGGTCTCAATCTCCTGACCTTGTGATCTGCCCACCTCGGCCTCCCAAAGTGCTGGGATTACAGGGGTGAGCCACCGTGCCTGGCCAATTCCTTATTTTTTAAAGATGGGTGTCTCAACTATGTTGCCCAGGCTGGCCTCAAACTCCTTGGCATCATGAGTTTCTGGGATTATAGGAATACACCACCATGGCCAGGAGCAATTTTCTTATTTCATTTTTTGCTTATGCATTGCAAGCATATAGAAATACAACTGATTACTGTATATTGATCTTGTACACTGTAACCTTACTGGAGTCAATTTATTAGCTCTAAGAGTTTTTTAGTGAATTCCGTAGTGTTCCTATACACTAGATCATATCATCTGCAAAAAGGAAGTTTTACTTCTTTTCCAATCTGAATACCTTTTATCTTATTTTCTTGCCTAATTGCCCTGCCTAGAATTTCTAGTGCAACACTGAATAGAAGTGATGGGAGCAGACAACCTTGTTTTTTTCCTATATTGAGGGGTAAACATTCAGTATTTCACCATTAAGTATGTGACAGCTGTGGTCTTTTGCCTAGATGCCTTTATTAGGTTAAGGAAGTTACCTCATATTCCTGGTTTGTTGAGAGTGTTTGTTATTAATGTGTGTTGGATTTTGTCACGTACCTTTTCAGCATCTATTGAGATGATCAGGTGGTTTTGTGCTTTATTTTATCATTGTGAAATACTTTAACTGATTTTCAGATGCAAAAGTATCTTTACATAAGAGGAATGAATCTCAGTTGGTCATAGTGTATAATTCTTTCTGTATGGAGCTGGTTGCTTTTTGCTAGTGTTTTGTTTCAAATGTTTATATCTATGTTCATGATGGATATTTGTCTATAGTTTTATTTTCTTGCAATGTCTTGTCTGGCTTTGATATTATGATAATATCGGCCTCACAAAATGAGTTGGGAAGTGTTCGCTCCTCCTCTATTTTCTGAAAGAGTTTATAAGGAATTGGTATAATTTCATTAAATTTTCAATAGAAAACACCAGTGAAGTCATCTGGGCCCAGGGTTTTCTTTGTGGAAATATCTTAAATTACTAATTCAATACATTTACTTAATAATCTATTTCATATTAATAATATCTTTATATGTGGCAAATATAGAAATTTTGCTCTCATATAGCTATATTATCCAATTTGTCCTATTATTGTCATGTATATTGTATCTATCTATATTATAAACCCAATGTCACAGTGTTGTAATTATTCCTTTGTTCAATCTGGCATAAAAGACAATAATAAAAAAGAAAATATGTATTTATATTTTCTATTAATCCACTATTTTACATTTTTTATTATTTTTATTTCTTCCTGTAGATTCATGTTATCATTTCATGTTGTTTCCTTTCACCCTGAAGATTTCTTAATATGCGTCACAAAACAGGTCTGTTACCAATGAATCTGTTAATTAATAAATGTCTTTATTTCGTCTTTATTTTGAAAGATACTTTGCTGGATATAAAACTATTGGTTATGATTTCTTTTTTTGTTCTTTCAGAATTTTGTAAATGCTATACCGCTGCCTTCTGTCCTTCATTGCTTCAGATAATGTCTGTTGTTATATTGATGCTGTCCTATAAGTGTCTCCCTCTATGGATTTCAAATGTTTTCTACGTATATGTGTCTCAATGTATCTTTTTGTTTTTTTTTTTTATTTTGGTGTTTTTTTTTTTTTTTTAGATGGAATCTCATTCTGTCTCCCAGGCTGGAGTGCAGTGGCATGATCTTGACTCACTGCAACCTCCACCTCTCTGGTTCAAGAGATTCTCCTGCCTCAGCCTTCCAACTAACTGGGATTACAGGCACGTGCCACCATGCCCAGCTAATTTTTGAATTTTTATAGAGACGGGGTTTCACCATGTTGGCCAGGTCAGTCTCGAACTCCTGACCTCGGGTGTTCTGCCTGCCTCAGCCTCCCAAAGCGCTAGGATTACAGGTGTGAGCCACCATGCCCAGCCTATCTTTTGGTATTTATCTCACTTAAAGTTTACTGAGTTGCTTGGATGTTTAGACTAATGGTTTTCATAAAATTTTGGAAAGCTTTGGCTTTCATTTTTTCAAGTATTTTTTTTCTACCTTTCTCTCTCTTTTGTCCCAGAATATACATTACACATATGTTGGCACATGTGATGTCCCAAAAGTCTCTGAAGATCTGTTCATTTCTCTTCCATCTTTTTTGCTCTTCATTCCTAGGAAATTATTCACTCTATTGATCTATATTCAGGTTCACTGATTTTTTTTTATTCTGACAATTTGAATCTGTTGTTCAACTGCTATAGTAACTTTCTCATTTCAGTTATTACACTCTTCAAATTCAGAATTTTCATATTGTTCATTTCAAATAATTTCTATCTCCTTATTGAGAATCTTTACTTGTTGATACATTTATATCGTACTCTCCTTTAGGGCTTTAAACATGTTTTTGTTTAGTTTAGTATATAAATGTGTGTGTGTGTATATATACACACATACATATGTGTATATATACATATACACATAAACATACATATGTGTGTATGTGTGTATATATATATAGATACAGATATAGATATAAACTGTGCTTTGAAGTCTGTCTACCAAATTCAACATCTGAAACATTTTCTATTGACTACTTTTTTCCCCCAAGTATGGACCACACTTTCCTGTTTCTCTGTATGTCCAATTTGTTGAAAACTAAACATTTTAAATAATATATTGTAACAACTTTGGGTTTTGACTATTTTCCTTCTGAAGTTTGCTACTGTTGCTTTTTGTTTGTTTATTAACTTACCTGTGGTAAATGTATGAAATCTGTTTCTCTTGTGATGTGTGACAATTGATGTTTCTGCACAGTTTATTTTATTCTTGATTTTTAAATTTTAAAGCCTAGCTCCAAATGGGTTACTCTGTGTCTAGACAGTTTTGACGTCAGCCAGTAATTGATAGAAATAATGCACAAACACCTCAAGCTAATAGGTTTCTTTTCTTTTGTTGGGGGAGGGGCGGTGGCAGGAACAGGAGTATGTTGAAAGTCTAGCCTCTCTTTTTCTATTCTCCTATGAAGATATGTATTATCTCTAGGTTAGGCCAGAACTGTAAAAATAGCTTGGGCCCTCTCTTCAGTCTCTACTGCAAAAGTGCATGCACACTTTCAGCTAGGAATATGTTTACCCCAACCATGAGCACAACCAGGTTAGTAGATCCATTGGCCTAACACACCTACCCACTGACACCAAGATCATTACTTCTACTGACAATGCTGCTGGTTGTGAGTATCACCCTCTGCTGCAAATTGAGTGAGCCCTCTTTAGCTCAGGTACAGCAGTTGCCAGTCCTCATGGCCAGCCAGATGCTGGCATAACTTTCATACTGACCAAACTCATGAATGTGGGCAGGCAGTGATAGAGGCAGTCTTAGGCAAGCAAGAAATCCACAGACTCCCAGTTCTTACCCAAACTTCAGCAGTTTTTCAAGAATAAACAGTTCTCATATTGCTGTTTGCCTTTGGCCATGTTTGGAAGTACTTATTTGCTTATTTTTGGGTCAATTTTAGATTCATAGTTGATTTGGGGGTAAAGGATTTGCCTGTTTTCTCACTCATCCATAGTCAGAGACAAATAACATTAAAATAATTTTTGTCTCCCCCCAAACATATAAAGATGTAGAGATACTTGCCTAGGAGGTCATATCAAAGTTATATTTTAGTACTAGGAAATAAGAAACCATCATAGATTTGCTAACAACCTTTGGGACATTTGAGAGTTCTCAGGTGAATAAATACTAAGTCAAAATCTGAAGAAATTAATATACACAGGGATGACTTCAACAGAAATATGTGCATTCTATTAGTTTCTCCACAAGCTACCTACCATGAAGTCTTACTTGTTCAATCTGATGACGTTGACTATCTTTCTTGAGAATGTATGTACAAATAGGATCTTTTTTCTATATAGGAGAAAAAAGTGTTCCCATTATTCTCTTGTATCAGTGGCAATTTCCTCATTGTTAGAAAATTTGCAAGGGTTTTTATAATATTTCAAGAGTAGACGTGCTAATGTGGTTAATTATTATATTACAAGGCAAATACTTTTCATTATTTTCCCCTGTGTAACCAAAAGTAACGTACTTAATCTTTCTAGGCCTCTGTTCCCTCACTGGAAAAACAATGAGCTTAAATAACAGGATCTAGAACTATACAGTCTAGATTTCCAAAGCATATAACGTTATTCCTAGCAACAATGGTTATGTATAAAAGCCCACTATTGCTAGGAAATACACTTAAATTTCTTTTCCAGTTTGGTGGTAGGTTTAACTAAATCAAGCTTTTAATTTAAAACTTATAAATAAATGTGTCTATGATAAACAAGCTGGGCAAGACTAAGAGCATAATCTGTTATTCTAAAGCTGAGTTTCTGAGTAATCTCTTTGGCAGTACATGTTGTTATCCCCTCTGTGAGTAGACATTCACTGTTTGAAGCAACAAGCCCTTTGATACTTAAAAATATTGGATTCTGTTCTATTTTTAAAAGCTACTATATCAGTATTCATCAACTGTTGGACATAGCCATTCATTTATTTTCAAAAAGGCTATTCTATAATCACACTTCCTTTCAGGAAGCCTACCAACTAAGTGAAAGCCTAAATTACTGATAGCAGTTATACAGGGACCTTCCTGTTGGTTAAGAAGCAGGATTAATTAAACTAATGTGCTAAATCTTGGGCTAGTAATTATGTAGAAAAGTGGTAGGAAAGCTTATTATATTTGTTTTTAGTGGTTGTGCACCTTTAATATGCAGCTAAAAAGAGTGAAACATTCTAGAAAAGATTTCTTATTTGTATTTTAGTAATGCTCTTAATTATCCTATAATTGTAATAAATATTGTCAACTCTATTCATAGAAATAACTATAATTTTGAAATACTGATTATATATTAAAATAATTAGTGAGGAATTAAAATCATTAGCCTTATGATAGCTAACTAATTAGGAGCCAATTAAGCATAGCTTTTCAAAATGTTTCACAAGAAAAATCCTAACTCTATCATATAAATTCAAATTTTCCACTAAATATTTGCATGCTTTTTGAATTATGTTAAGACTAAGAAATGTTTCATAATGGCTAAAATTCTTAGAATATTCATATATATTTTAAAATTGTTTTCACATACAATTCTGTTATCACAGCATGAAAATGGTTCTGAAGCAATATTTTAAAACTGCACAATGCGAAACTGTTCTTAGATTATATCTGATATGGTTGGGGCAAATAAAAGGCCAATTGCATGTGGTGGTGTTGCAGATTTTGGCTCTAATGCTATACATAATGGTGCTTCTATCACTACATATTTTGTTGAGGTTCTGTTATTTAGTGGACATAGTTTAACAATGTTTCTCCTTAGATAGGGACATCGTGTTTTACCTTGATTTGGAAAGAAAAAGAGTTTCTTATAGGGAAGACTGTTTCACAGTATCTATAATAACCCAACAGATTTCTATTAAATTCACACACACACACACACACACACACACACACACACACACTCACTTTGGAGGCAGGAGGAGTCCAGACTAAGCAGGAAATCTTTAAGGCCACAAGTACTTAATACCAACTAGATAGGGGTGAAAGTGATCCCTACTTTTCTAGTCCAAAGCTTGAGCTACAAATAGAGACTACAGCAACTATTATATTTATCATAATCTTAATATAAAACAAAGTGAAATACCTATAAAATCCAGGGCCTTAGTATGCAGCCATAGCTTAAGAAATAAAGTCAGTAATACAATCACTATCTATCTGGAAATTCTAAAATCCAAGACATAGTAAAAGTAAATCTTGCTATGGAAAAATATAAAATGTAGTATGCGGTGATATTGACTGTGATATTCAAGTTTCAGAATACTTTGGGGATTTCCTTTTAGCCAAGAAAATGAGTATTTTTTGAGGTTTTTCATGCTACATCATACAGTACATATGAGCATGATGTGGTTTATTAGACTGATCTACATTATCATTAGTTATTTCCTCAGTAATCCTAATGGCAGTGGGAAAATATGAAAATTTAGAGGAAAAAAAGCCATAAATTGATTGCGTATTCATAAAAATGTAACTTAACAATTTCCTTCAAATTGTAATACCCCTACTCTACTTCTGGATATATGCATAAAAGTAACCAGACTTTTCCCTAGAGTGAATACGGTAAATATGAATTTGCCATTTCATATTTGTGAATGAATTACCATACCATCTTTGTGAATATTTCTACATTTGATTATTAAAGAATAATTTCATTTAAATGGGACAGTAAGGTAAAAACAAGCATAACTACCAAATGAAAAGAAATTTCATTCCCATTTACAAAAGTATGATTGTATGCCTATTGTGTAATCCAATTCAAATTTACCATACTCAGATTCAGATTAACATATTCATCTTCGTATTACTAAATGATCCTGATCTCACTAAACCTCTATTTTATCATCAAGAAATTGGGTAATAATGTGAACAACTCCAGATGAAATTTGGGCATTTTAATAATTAATGATAAAAATCCATTTACTATAACAAAATAACTACCAAATTATATATTCAGCCACTTAAAGACAGCTTTCTGAAAGTCTGAATAAATGTATTAATCCCCATCAGATTCTCTTTTTCTTGTTTTTATTGTAGGAAAAGCACACAGGAAATTGCAATATCTAAAATAAATTCACAAATTTATTTGTATTCAAAGAGCAAGTAATTTATTATCAAGATGGCAGAATAAGATCAGGAAGAAATTCTCACTGCTCTGCCTCAAAAAACATAGTAATACTACATAGAGTACCAAAAAGAGAAAGCTGTGTTCAACAGAATTATCTCTCATGGACTAAAAACATATTTTGTCTCTGTAGAAGAATTAATTGTGGAAACTGGTAAATTATAGGGTGGCCCATTTTGTTGTTTAACATCTACAATTTTCTTTCTCAGATCTATGAAATCTAGTTCTTGATTCAGTGTCAAGCATTTGAGATGAGATTTATTTTTCTATTTCAGTCAGCATCTGTTTCCTAAACATTTCTTTTTGCAGCAGAAGAAAAAGGGTAAAGTTCTATTATGCTATTAATTCTTGACATCGAAAACTTACTAAAAGCAAGTTAAATGCAAAAATAAAAAATAAAAACAGAGACCTATAGATCATATGTGTAATGAACTAGATGTGGGCTAAAGAAATAAAGACACGTAAAATAGAGAAAGAACATGAAATAAACTAAACATTTCTGAAGAGAAAGGAGAATTTTGCCAAATTGAAAATAGTACAATTGTAGCTTAAAGTTTTACTTAAAATAGACTGAACACATAAAAGTCCTCTTTCTCATATAGCCATATTTAACCACGTATTTTCTCATCAATAATTTTCACCTACTTCAAATATTGGTAAGATACTCTGACTAAGAAACAAGACCAAAGGTCATTGTATTTAATAAAAATTCTGAAAGTTTAAACTGGAAAGAGTACAAATTATCTTTGTAAGTTTTTCTCTATTTGATTATTAAATAATAATTTCATTTTAAATGGGACACTAGGGTAAAACAAGCATAACTGCCAAGTGAAAAGAAATTTCATTCCCAAGTGCAAAAGTATGATTGTGTGTGTATTGTGTAATCCAATTCAAATCTGATTAGAATCAGATGAATCAACCAGTTTAATCAATGTTAATAAGTTTCTGTGACTGCAGTTAGATACTTTCCTGTGCCTTCATCTGTTTATTCTACCTTTTCTCCTGTCATTATGGGGAGTGACTATGCTCCTGGCTAAACTAATCTACTACTTGTCCCTTGGATCCCATCCACTTATATTTTTAGAGACAGATTTCCAGTAGTTTTTCCTCTGTCTACTGCCTTGATGGTTTTACCTGCTCTCTTTAGTTACTCTCATCAGTATACAAACATATTCTTTCTTTTATTTAAAAACAACAAACAAAAATACTTTTCTTTATCCTACTTCCTCCTCCAGCTGCCGCCCCATGTCTTTCCCATTTTTTACAGTGAAATTTGTTGAAAGTATTGCCTGTCTCATCTCCAGTTCTCTCCTCCCATTCCCTTTGAAACTCCTATTCTCTCCTATCCCCTTCCTTCACCAATCCAGTGAATATGTTCTATTAAGATCCTTAATAACGTTTGTATTGCTAAATCCATCAATCAGCAGGATACCACATTTATATTTTTGCCTCTTACCTCCTGGCTGCTCCTTCTCAGTCTTATTTGCTCAGTCATAACCCCTTCATCAGCAAATCCTGCTGCCTCTAAGCACACCTAGAATCTGCTCCTTGCTCATCGCCTCTCCATCACTCTGGTCTAAGCCAGCCTCATCCTTCACCGAATTGTTGTACTAGCTTCCCATCTGTTATATCTTCTTCTGCATTTGTCATCCTATAGTCTATTCTTAACACAATACACAGACTAATCCTCTTGAAATTTGAGTCAGATTATGTCACCTGACTGTTTAAAATCCTTCAGTAGTTTCCAAGTTAATTCAAAGTAACAGGAGAAGTTCTAATGGTAGCCTATATCGCCCTACACGTGATGAGGTCCCATCATCTCTCTCATCTCATTTCCTAATTCTCCCAGTCTTCATCTTTCTACTTTATCCAGATTACACTCTATAGTATTGCTTAAACGCGTCAGGAACTTTGTACTTAGTGTTTTTTTGTTTTTGTTTTTGTTTTTGTTTTCTGTTTGGCATGGTCTTCCCCAAGACAGCATGTCACCTTCACCTTCTCACTGAGGCCTTTTCTGATAGTCTGGCTAAAATCATAACCCTCATCCTTATTCTCACCCTGACCTTTCTAACGCCTTCTCTGGTTTATTTTTCTCTTTAGCACTTATCAACCTAACATATTTTATATTTATTCATCTTATATGTTTCCCTGACTACAATTTAAACTCCACAATGGCACAGATTTTTGTGTTTTGCTGTCTAATGCATAGCAAAGTTTCTAGTACATAATAGGAACTCAAAAATATTTTCTAAATAAATAAATCAAGCATTTATTTTAATAGTATTGGTTTTAGGTCAAAACCATCTAAGTATAAAATGAGTTCAGAGGCTCCTGTTTCCACCGTCACTAGGAAATCTATAAAACATTTTAAAAAATAACTCATGGGTTTAAACACTTGCTGGGAACTTGATCCAAAGGACTGAGTAAGTCATAGGTACTTTGTACTAAACTGCCATTTTTCCCCTTCTCTTTTCCTCTATTACATCTCACTTGTTGCAATCTTTTTTCTGAAGAGTGAAAGAAGGCCTCAACTTCAGTATAATTTAGAGCATTCTTGATTACTCTGCTCCAGTGGCCTATTCATGGCTTTAGCTAAATAAGATCTCAAATGTTAAAGGCAACCAGCTTTAAGCTGATGATATTTAGCATAAAGGTGTTTCTTCCTCATTGCTTATGCTTTTCCTGGTTATATTTAACCAGGAATAGTATACCTTGGAGTATATGTGTATGAATGCTTGCTCACACTGCTGTGCTAATGAGTTGCTGCATTTTACAAATAATATTAAGTTTTAACATTAAAAATTTGAGTTTTTAAAATAAAAATGCTAAAGAATTTTCATAGAATAAGGTCTTTCACAACATTTTTCCATTATGGTTTCTTGTCATTAGAATAAGAAGCCCAAATAAGATATTCAACAGAGGAGATAAATGTATGTATCTCTTACCTGAAGCCAACCCAGAGAGATCAGTTTGGTTTTCACTTTCCTCATCAGTACTCTCATCATAGACTGGATCTCGGTCAGCAGTCATTTCAGAACAGATTGCAGTTTCCCTAGAAACAGAGAAAGGTAGAATTATAAATAACTGGCTCACCCCCTGCTAGGCAGCAGATTTATCAGTAAGCAATTATAGAAAATATTCCTAGAAAAAGATTCTAATTAGACAAACATATTGAAAATATATATGATTTAGATGAAAGCATCTTAAAACCTATATATTAACTCTCTTAAGAACAAGTTTCTCTTTTACCTAATTTTAATCTGAATTTAGTACTTATTATAATTAATATTAAATCAGTTTCTTATCAGGTACTATTCTTCCATCAAAATACTTTTTCTAACAAATTATCTCTGTGAGTCACAGAGTATTTAACATTTTACTAATCTCAGAACAGTTCGCATTTCATTTGATCTCTGCAAAACCCTAAGATGGGTATCTTTACCTTTATTATGAAGATAAAGTGACTTGTCCAAAGCTATAAACTAATAGGTATGACTGCAAGACCAGTACCTGTGCTAGGACTAGCTGATATCAAATTTTTTTATACTACGTCACTGGTAATTCTGTACTTCTACTAAGATTCAAAGCAACAGACCCTAACTTGTATTTGCTAATGCGTAAAAAAGTTATAATCGTCGAAAGCCGTATCAGCCATTTGTCACTTAGGATTCTTCCATAAAAATCAAGTACATATGTACTTTCAGAGAATATGTGAAAGAAGAATAAAACTGATAATCACACTCTAATCAGATAAAATAAGTGCTCCCTGGAATTTAATATTAACCACTTGATTCTAAAGTTAATCATTGCCTAGACATCAAGATTACAAATATGCATCCAACTTTTGTAGTTCTGCAGATGAAAGTTTTTTTTTAAATTAGTATGTCTTACTAATGTCTAAGAATTAAATAATACTTTAATAAGCCTCATGTCAGTTTTTTAATTTAAGTGTAGGTGACACAGTTGAGCAGACATAGAGAGACCATGCTGAGAACTCTCTAGCCCATGGTACCCCTATCTAACAGCCTGAACATCCACATCCAGACTACCAAATTATCTCATATGATCAAAAAGTTGGCATCTAATGTTCATTAACTTTGGGAAGAAATTCCACTTAAATGTATTCATCTGTCATCCAAAAACAAGATAGCGAAAATACCCTTCTTGTTTGATGTCCTTTTCTCGTTCTTGAGCTGCATTTAATAATTTATTATGCAAACTTCTGATTTTTGTTTTCTTCTCATTCAACACCAGAATAAACCGCTTATAAAGATCAGTCTCCAAAGCTTCCTTAGCACTCACACATTTTTCAAATCTAAAAAAGTAAATAAGTAAACAAATTAGTCATGCAGTTCTGCTTAGCATTAACATAATTCAGCCTAATAATCAAGAAGATTTCAAGGAAAATACAATTAAAGATTATTTTCACATATGCTTTCACTGACTTGGAAGTTTTATAAAGATGGTTAAATACACAATTAGAAATTATTGGTTATTAATGTAATTTATTTACTGAGATAAGGATCAAAATTGAAAACTGATACAAATAAGCCTTTAGAAAATCAAAATGCCTAAAGATAATTTATTGATACATATGGTTTATTTACAAAAGAATGTTTTTATGGGATAAATTTCAAACAAGAGTAAATGTAGCCTGTTTCCTCAGTACTATGTTAATATTACTATAAAAGCAACTACAATCTTATTTTGTGATAAGGCAACATAGCTAATTTGTCTGATTTATCTACTAGACAACAAACTGCTCCACAACAAGAACACGACTTATCCAGTTATATTCTTATAAGCGAGCACCACACACACACACACACAAATACATATAGAAATGCAATACACATACCCAATGAAAGTATTCTACTTGATATATTCAAGGAGAGATTAATAAAACAGCAAATGTAAAACACTACATATCTTCAAATTTAGATACGTAAGACAAAACATACAAAATTCTCTATTGTTTTTAATTCATCCCATACTGCTCAAATGAGCTAACAAGGGATTGTATTTATTTTAAGCTCCCAAGAGATATATAAAGAAAGCAAAATAGCTGAGGTTGTATATACTTAATATATGCATACACATACATGATGAATACATTCCTATTTTATTGATTCAAATACAAATTATTTTATGTATTCTTTTCAATGTTGTTTCATACTGCTTATTTACATTGTTGTTGTTTTACAGGTATCCTAGTATTTTTATACTGTACATAAACACACACACACATATATACCAGTAGTAATATATATGTGTGTGTACATATATAGACACACACATATATATTTCAGTGAAATTAGAAACACAAATGTCCAAATTAGATAGCTTTTATATACATGCCCTTAAACTTTCAACAATCTACCTATCTAGAGATGCAAAGAATTAGAACGTATCATAGGATAAAAAGGAAAATATGGCAATATATTCTCTGGGACCAATTTCAGCAAATTCTTACAGCACAGTCTTTGCCAAAGATGTGAACTCCACGAAAGCAGACAGCATGTGTGTTTTATTGGCCACTGTATCCTCAGTGCCCAGCATAGTGTTTAGCATTCGACAGATGTTTGGTAGGTTCTTATTAGACAAACGAATAAAGTGAATAAATTAATATGGACATCTTTTTGGTTTATTTATTTTCCCAGTGGTTTATTCGTTTTCCCAGCTTTTCTGCAGAGTTATTACAAGGCCTCAACAGTGCTTTAGTTTTTCTTTTCAATATCCTGTTCTGCAGCTTCCTTGGTCCTTTTTGCCCAGAGGCCAAAGAGCCAGGCATTGATATGGCAGGTTTTTTGTTTTTTTTTTTTTTGAGACAGACTTTCGCTGTTGTTGCCCAGGCTGGAGGGCAGTGGCACGATCTCCACTCACTACAACCTCTGCCTTCTGGTTTCAAGCGATTCGCCTGCCTCAGCCTCCCGAGTAGCTGAGATTACAGGCACCTGCCACCATGCCTGGCTAATTTTTGTACTTTTAGTAGAGACAGGGTTTCACCATGTTGGTCAGACTGGTCTCGAACTCCTGAGCTCGTGATCCATCTGCCTCAGCCTCCCAAAGTTCTGGGATTACAGGCGTGAGCCACCGCACCTGGCCTGACGTGGCAGTCTTGAAGTTCTCTTCCTCCTTGGTGATGACTCTGGCTTTCTCCTTCGTATAGGTATTTCATATGAACATTACCGGTCCTGTCAGTGTGATGGCCAATTTGAGTTCTTCAGTGTAGCTGTCTCTCTTCTCGGAGGCTGAGGTTTCTAGAGAAGGAGGATAAGCTTCCAGCAGTACTCCTACAGCTGTTATACATTGGCCTGCAGGGACTCAGTAGACTTGTCTCACCTCCTTGGATCAATAGAGAAATCAATGGTCCAGGCCATCTTCTTGTGGATGCTGGCCACCCTTAATTCTTCCAAGCTGAAGCCCCTACCAGCTTGTACTTGGTGTGAAACCTCATGTGGGGCATTTTACTAGGGGCCAGTGGGTCCAGATACAAGGCACCGGGCAATGCAGTGGGCTTGCCCAGTCCCATGTCTGTGGCTCTTCCTTGCAGGCTGGGTGAACCATATTGCTATAGGCCACTGCCAGTACTTACAAAAGTGGGGCTTCAGGATTATGCCATTCCTGCTGGGCACCATGGCTGACTATAGCCCTCCAGCAAAGAAGAAGAGCCAAGGAGAATGGCTAATATTGACATCTTATAAGGAAACAGAAAAACAGTGATTCCGAATATTGTATTTTTTCCCTCATTTAATAGCTATTCACCATTGTAAAAGTAATGTTTTTCATCTTCAGCTTTTAAAAAAACTGTGGCAAATAATATCAATCTAACAGTATTCCCTTCATTAAGCAAAGTTCTCTGAGAAAGAAGTACACGAAAGATGTTAGAAAAAAACTGAATATTGAAAAGGAGCTAGCAATATTGATAGTTTATTTTAAGCAAAGACATGTCACTACATTTATATTTCAGATTCAGTGTTACGTAAGCATGATATTCTTATCTTCCTATAATATTTTCAAAAAAACACAACAAAAAACTTTAAAACATACATATTACTGAAATACCTGAGTATATAATAACATACTTCAAACATATGCAAAGTAAAAACCAATATGTGAAAACATATAAACAAATATATTACAATTTCTTATATTAAATTTTAGGAATGGTAACCAATTAGTAATTTATCTGGTTTAAGTCCATATTTAATTTCCATATAAGTCACTTCAATAATTCTTGATTGAATGATGATGTGTACTTAACAACTAACAAGCTAATTCCCAAACCTTTATTAAAATTAACATTTGGTATGACACATTCAAAGTGAAAATAAATATGAAAATGAAATATCATATAATATTCCTAAAGAATATTGTTAATCTTAAGTAACCAGTATCAGATCTATGTTGTCAAAGGAAACATTTCTGTGACAGGAAAACACAGTCAATAGAATGAATGGTATCATGTGAGTTAACCTTGCTTGGTTTCAGCAAAGCTTTAGGATTTTTTTGCAACCAAACTTCTGATCATCAAACTGGACAACACTTCCTAGAAAAGTGGGGGAGCGGGAGCTGACTGGAGAAAAAGTATTAGTGTGAACAGTTGCATGACATGAATTTACTCTTAACTTTTAATTTTTCAAGACTCAGAGAATGCTATCCTTTTATCCAATAATCAGTAACTAAGAGGTATGTCGTATCATTCCCACCTAATTTTTAATGCCAATCCTCTCCTAGAGCATTATGATGTTACTATGCATTCCATTACGTGCTTCCTGTCAAGCTTATGCCTCAAGAAATTGGACAGGAACTGTTAGGTGAGAACATTTAGTGGAGAAGAGACATGGGATTCACTGCTAAGTCTGGTGACACTAACAAAAAGCCCATGTACAACTAGATCAGACCACACTAGTCCAAGGATCAAATCCAGGCAAATCTCAAATTGGGACGAAATCACAAATAACATCAAACAAGAAAGGTCTAATGATACTTCATCCTTTCTACAATAACTAGGAAAACAGAACAATAATGCTAAATTTAATTAGCAACCTAGCACTGAGGTATCTAAAACCTTGGACAAAAAAATAGTAATTTTTTTTAAAAAATTAAAAGGATAAAAAAATACAAAAAAATACTGAATATTCAAAATAAAATGTCTCTGGGTGGGAAAACAATCTAAGAATAACATGTCAAAACAATAACAAACTAGGAGGAAAAACACAACAATTTCATGCAGAAATAACACCAAAAATGAAACAACAGATTAAATGATAGCTCAAAATAAAATAATAGATATATAAATGTGAACATATGGTATTTAGACACAGTGCAGTAATCCTTAAATTAATAATCAGTTCTGGCCAAAATTATATCTGGCCCAGGTCAGGGTTGTATGTCAAAAGAAAGTCTGAATAGAGTTGGGAAGACAAAGAAAGCTAAAAAGAACTGGAAAAGCAAGCAGTGGTAAAGAGATTTAATAAGGCTTTAAGTACGGAAAAAGATGGTGAACAGCTGTTCCTCATCCTTTCTGACAAGAGAACAAGAGGAAATGGCCTTCAACTATACCGTGAAGGATTCAGATTACCCATAGATGGAAGAAAGAATTTTCTGACTGCGACAGTTCTTAAACACTGTAACGGGCTATCAAGAGGAGATGAAGATATCTCTTGAGGTCTTTAAAAATCGGACTGAATTCATCTGGATATAATGTGATTGTATCTTGAAGGCAGAGAGATGAAGTAGAAGAGCTTTCAAGGTCTTTTATTTTGATGATTCTGTGAGTGTCAACCCAATTCCCTGAAAACTGCCTCCAATTATGGGTTTAATAACTATAACTCAGAATAAAGGCAGGTAATTTCTAAGTAGAGGTCTGAGTGCAAACAAAACACCTATTCAGTAACATGGAACTTGAGAGTTTTTATTTGTAATTAAGTAGAAAACCCATGAAATAAATATAGCCAGTAACCTAAGGATTCACGTACACATCTTAAATGTTTCCTCCTTTATCTACACTATACAAAATTAATCCACTGATGCCACTTGTTCAAAATGGAGCCAAGAACACAATTATTAAGTGGTAATTAAAAATAACAGCAAATATATATGTTAAAATTCTATGCATTAAAGCTCACACTTTTTACTTATGCTGTAATTTCTCATTCCTCACTCAAGTGTTTATTCTCCACCATCATCCCAAATGAAAATAGCTTTATAATTGTTTGATTATAATGGTGATACATATTTAAATACTAAAACATATACAAAAAATACTCCCCAAAATTAAAGGAAAATGTAGTCTACAATTCCAGATATACACTATTAACATTTAATTTTCTTCTTCCAGATACTCTCTATATAAATATATTTTTTTGCAAACAATGGGATATTGTTTATATTTGTGGTGATGCACATCTCACCTTAATATATGATCAACATTTTCCATGCTAATAAACACATGTGTACACAACTATTTTATTCTCATATAATATCCTATGGGGTAGTAAATGTATCTCAGACCCATCTACCATCGCTTCTATGGGAATTCCCATCCCTTACATTGTGTCCTTCCCCACTATTTTAACACCACCCTCCCATCCCTTCATATGTAGTATAGAAGAAATGTTTGGATCATGAATGGACACTGACCCAAAAATAATCGGAGGCTTCCCCCAAAATTAACTATTGCCAGGCTTAACATCATGGCCCCAACTCTAATGATTCTCTACTTTCTATGTCCCCAGTTACCTAACTCCATATGCTCATGTCCTATTTCTAATCTCCCTAAAGACACTTAATCAGAACTACTGCCTTATGGAAGCTAAAGCTGTAAATCCTTTCCAGCATGCAAAGGCTCTAGTGAGGGAACACTAAGAAACTGCTGCTTGGCCATGATCAAGATGTATTTACAGCTCCTTAAAGTGGCCTCTGTCCTCTGAAAGGAAAGAAAATCAAATTTGGGAAATATTTAAAGCTACTAATCTAAGATCTGGAATACAATAAAGAGACTAGAATTCTCTGGAGTGGACTCTCTTTCCTCTCAGGACATAGGGCCACCCACTGGCACACATCTATAGACCCTGAAGAAGACATCTGACACAGTACTATCAAAAAAATAGCTGGATCATAATAAAGCAGGTGACAGGGTACATGGCTGTGCTTTTGATCAAACAGGAAATCTCTTCACAACAAGACAAAAGCACTTGCTGGATAGTCCAGAAATAGCAAATCAAGCATCTGTGAGCCACATATAATATGTGCCCCTCACACACACTGTTACAGCACAGGGTGCATTTGTCTCTAATTCCCCATCTTCGTTCCCTGCTGCTTTCAATTCTATGGGAGTGGTGTTGAATACTGATGAGATAATACCTCTTTCAACCTCTGGCAGACATTTTAAAGCAATTTGTTCAAGTACCAAGTACCCAGTCTGCATTTTTGTAGGCAATTTGTGGATCAAATTTCCTATCATCCTGAGGGTATTCTGAGTTTTAAATATAATGGCTTATCACGACCATAGCACATCTCCTTTAATTTGATTTATTTCACATATTAAATAGAAAATACACCCAAGCTACAGATACAGGTCCAAGAAATGCTTTGTAGTACAGATATCTGATACTGATTCATACTATCACATTGAAATCATCTTTATGAATAAACAGCAGTTAAAGAGAAAAATTAACTTTTTCTGCATGGTTTCCTGATACACAGTTTGGATTTGGTCTCATTTTTATATTATTTATATATAACATATATAAATAATTGGAGATAAAAATGTAGATCTAAGATAGAACAAAATAACCACTTTCTTAATATAATACATGAAAGCCAAATAACACTAGATGTTAGGAACTTAATTTTACATGTTTTGCATTAGTTAATAAATATAATTGAATGTACAGAAAAATAATCTTTTAGTCAGCCTCATTTTCACATACATATGTTGATAGTGGTAAAATCGTCACCATTTTTCATATACTTTCACATATACTCACTAACGTCTATACAGAGCAATCACAATGGTTGCGCTAAAAAGACCCTAAATATGTTGGATAAACTGTTCCCATGCTTTAGAGTTATTTAAGCAAAAGATTTAAAAAATCTACTGGATGTACTAATAATTATTATCATTATTATATATATATTCCACATAATTTTTCAGACATCATTTTCTTTCTCACTGTATATATATGTGTGTGCATACACACACACATATATATATTATAAGTGAGGATACAAGTGTTCACAACATGCATTTTATTTCCTTCAAATATCTTATACTAATAGAATAATAAAGGTTACACATTGGGCCAGCCTAGATTAGGATTTAGTTGAGAAAGTTCATAATTTAAAAAAAAATTATTTTTTTCTTCCTCATTTAAAAAGAGGCAAAGCCATAAAAATAAAAGGCTTCCAAATGTCTTATCCAGTAGCCACAATTAGCTCATCCTTTAAAAATGGTATAGTATGAATTTTCAATAAATCCAGAGAAATAAGTCTATTAGGAGCCAAAACACTGTAATTTGAAATAGATGCCACTCACTGAGCCCAAATGAGAAATCAATTATGCTTATTTTATTTCATGTCTCTTTTTCATTCATTATTAATCCTATAATTTGAGCTGAATTAATCTTAATAAATATTTACTACCTAAATCTTTTATTAGTATTAATGGGTTTTGATCTTCAATGCCCAATTAATCCTTATTGTTTATAAATTTGCTGGTGCCACCACATACTAATGACATAATGTATTAATGTATTCCTATAATATACAATAGTGATGAATAATTTCGTTTAATCATATTCAGTTAAGGTAAATATATATGTGCTAATCCACATATATTGGAAATTTACCAATCATTAACTTAAAGCTATAACAACATAAAGAGGGCTCCGTATTTTTATACCACAAGCAAACTGTGTACACACCGTCCTTGAACATCATTCCAATCTCTCAGAAGCCTTTCATTTTCTTTCTGCAGGTGCTCATTTTTGGCTTGATTTTCTGCAATGGTGTCCAAGCAATAACAAATAAGTTCTCTAATGACTTCAGCTGGGTTTTCAACTTTCTCTAGGTTGAAGGAACCAAGTCTGAACTAAAATGAAAGAAAAACATGGTTAATTTGGGGAAAATATCAAGATTGAGAAGCCTGGTTTTAAGCATACACAATTTCTTCTGAGAATAAAAAAGTGTAAGAAGGATTTAAATACAATGCATTTACAAGATATACAAACAGTGAGCAAAAAAACTGGGCTTCTACCTAAAGTTTCTTACTTGATCATATAAATCAACATATAGCCCAAGAATAATTTTTGTAAGTGGTAAGTCACTCTTCCATCTCCTAGCAGAAAAGAAAGCAACATAAATACTGTATAAGCTTACTACCATCTGTTTGCTAAAGCCTAATTTTAAGTCTCTCTGCTCAGAATAAGAAAAGGAATTATATATGATAATTTTAACTCTAATTTCTGTTCATGTAAATGCTAAAATGGAATAACTGACCTTTTGTTGAAGAAAGCTCAAAATTTTGTTATAGCTAAGAGAAAGGTAGAGTTTTAGGAAACTAGTAGCTACACAGTAATTACTCTTTTATCTAAAGACAATAATTTATTACCATAAATTGCCAATAATAAAGTTAAGTGTCAAGCTTTAGTACTTTTGCATAAAGGTAAGAATCTTAAAAATACCTTAATTCCTCTACTAGGGTACAGTTTAAAATAAAATACTCAAATAGTTTTAGTACACTTATGGAATTCTGAAGAGAACACAGGTATTCCCCATTTGGCTGATAAGGATGCCGAAACACAATGATTAGTAATAATGATTATATTTATCCTTAAAATTATTATAACAGATAACAAATTATGATGATTATTATTCAGTTACCACATCTTTTGGTTGAAGTGTAACTCAAGTGTAGCAAAAATATAAACTAGGATAAATCTTCACCGTAAGAGAACTATTATCATATCCACATTATAGATCAGTAAACTCAGGTTCAGAGTAGTTATCCAAGTTATTGAAGGGGTAAAGTCAAGATTCTGCTATGCTATGCTGTTGTGCTGTTTCTTGGTAAGAGAGTATCCCAACTAGACAAAAAGTAGGGGAAGAATTAGGTTCAGAACCTACACATAATTCCAAAGAAAGATGCTGGTAGCACTGAGTCCGTAGAAGAGTAAAATGAGAATTGATTTTGTTTTTGTTTTGGGTTTTTGTTTTTTGCCTCCTAGATTGTGAATTTCTATTATGCCATTTATCTGATAAGAATATTTCCAAAAGGTATTGCTTTTAAAAGAATATTTCTATAAATATATTACATACAGATTAAGAAATATTTAATATGGTTGATAATTTTGAGACAAATCTTTATTACACAATTTACAAATAAAAGCAGACTTCACTTAGACATCCACTGTGAAACTGCATTCGTACAGTTTGAAAAAGCAATTGCAGTTTTCTCATGCAATGAAATATGAGTCCACTTAACAGGCATATAAGCTTAAATAAGAAAGTTTTACCTATATAAAGAATAAATAAATTGAAAGTAAATTTGAACAGTTACCTTTTGAAACCTCTCTGAGTGTAAATATACACACAAAGTTAAAGAAAAATGTCACCTGGCCGAGCACAGTGGCTCACTCCTGTAATCCCAACACTTTGGGAGGCCAAGGCAGGTGGAGTTCATCTGAGGTCAGGAGTTCGAAACCTGCCTGGCCAACACAGTGTTGTAAAGACAGTGTTTAGTCTTTACTAAAAATACAAAAATGAGCCAGACATGGTGGTGCACGCTTATAAGCCCAGCTACTCAGGAGGCTGAGGCACAAGGATCGCTTGAACCGCGAGACACAGGTTGCAGTGAGCCTAGATTGTGCCACTGCACTCCAGCCTGGGCGATACAGCGAGACTCAGTCTCGAAAACAACAACAACAACAAAAACAAAAAAAGGAAAAAAAAAGTCACCTACAGAATATTATTGTTTTGAGTTGATACAAAGCAGGAGAAAAAAATAAGCTTACTTTATTTTAGACAATAGGTTACAATAGCAAAACATAAACCCACAAAGTGGTTTTGTATTCTTTTATTTTAACAATTGTCAGGTAGCTTTGAGAGAAGTGGACATTTTTAGAAATAAAAAGTTTTTTTTAACATTTGAAAAGTTTCAAAATGCCAAAAGGATAAAGAATTCATCCCACACTTTGATCCTGAAATAAAATAATCAGTAAAATACAAATGAAGAGATAAACAAGTCCAGCCCTCTACACTTCTATCTCAGATGACAAAGAAAGGACTAATTTTAAATCACTAATAACAACTTCTTTCAAAATATCACTCAAACACACTGATGAAAAATTCCAAAACCCTCTTAGATCTTTTTGCAGCTAATCAGTGTAAAATAAACATGAAATGTCATTTCTTCTTAAAAGTATACAACTTTTTTTATATCTATTTTCTAATTATTGTCACCAGTTTCTAGTCCTTCAATAGATAAGGACATCTGTTATTCTACAGAATAAAAATAAACTAAAAGTATCTATAAATTTAATCAAAGAAAAGGATTTTACTTGAAATACTCAGATTAATTTTTTTTTTTAATTCTCAAAAGTATTTGGCCCGTATACACACGGTGCATAGCCAGGAGCAGGAGGCACTCTTTCACCTTCACTGCTGCTGTTCTAGGCTGTGCACATTACTACAGATGCAAGGGGCCACGTGCCTAGATGCACTGGACTTCAAAAAGGGCCTCATCAGGCTTAATGAGTTGAGAAGTATAAAATATTTCTGTGTTCTACCTCTACACCCAGTCCATCTTTATTCTGTCTCACAACAAAAGCAGCAATTTAAGTATCATTTTAACGCCAGAAAATTAGCACAAAAGCTATATCGTACTGTTGTGTCAATTTTTAAATTTTTACTCCAGTTTCTAGTTTGACATATAAGGTTACTGTCACAGCTGTTCTTTATTTATCAGTTCTGTCACTTCAAAATAATCTACAGTATAAAACCATGACTTTGAATGGTACAGCACAGCCAGAAACCACATATAAAAGACATTTTGAGAGCATGTCTCTTCTGTTAGAAACAGATAAAATTAAGAGTTTTTTTGTAGTTAGTTCTCAATTTTATTAATAATTAAGAGTACACAGATCTTGTTAAGAACCTCAGTCTATCTATAATCTTCTAAGAGTTTAAGCTATGTCTGCATTTCTCTATGTAAAGAAGTTAAGAGCAATTAAATTCTAAAATATTGATAATCGGCCAGGTGCGGTGGCTCCAGCTTGTAATCCTAGCACTTTGGGAGGCCGAGGTGGGCAGATTGCCTGAGCTCAAGAGTTTGAGACCAGCCTGGGCAACATGGTGAAACCCTGTCTCTACTAAAATACAAAACAAAATTAGCTGGGCGTGGTGGCGTGTGCCTGTAGTCCCAGCTACTCAGGAGGTTGAGGCAGGAGAATTGCTTGAACCCAAGAGGCAGAGGTTGCAGTAAGCCAACATCACACCACTGCACTCCAGCCTGGTGACAGAGCAAGACTCCGTCTCAAAAAAATATATATATATATTATATATACGTATACATACGTATATACATATATGTATACATATGTATACGTATATATAATATGTACATATACATACATATATGCATATACATATATAATATATACGTATACATACATATATATGTATGTATACGTGTATATATATATAAAGAATCATAGTAGGTTTCACTAGTTGACTCTTAATAGTTATCATTCTAAGTGATAGAATAAATACTTTTAGCTTTTTAAATTTAATCCGCATTAAAAATCATCAATTTCAGAAAACACATACATTTTCTTTAGCCAGGGGTTTGTCTATTCCGGATATCTTTTTGTCAACCCTTCAAGTCCAAGATTAAATGCCATACTCCCTTACCATCACCTCAAAGCCCAGGCCAAGTTCTTTTTAACTAAGTTAGCCTATGTATTAGTTGGTCTTCACACAGCTGATAAAGACATACCTGAGACTGGGAAGAAAAAGGGTTTAATGCACTTAGAGTTTCACATGGCTGGGGAGGCCTCTCAATCATGGCAGAAGGCAAGGAGGAGCAAGTCACATCTTACACGGATGACAGCAGGCAAAAACAGAGCTTATGCAGGGAAACCTGTTTTTTGTTTTTTGGGTTTTTTTAGACAGTCTCACTCTGTCACCCAGGCTAGAGTACAGTGGCATGATCTCGGCTCACTGCAACCTCTGCCTCCTGGGTTCAAGTGATTCTCCTGCCTCAGCCTCCTGAGTAGCTGGGATTACAGGGGTGGGCCACCATGCCCTAATTTTTGTATTTTTAGTAGATACAGGGTTTCACCATGTTGGTCAGGCTGGTCTCGAACTCCTGACCTCGTGATCTGCCCACCTCGGCCTCCCAAAGTGCTGAGATTACAGGCGTGGGCCACTGTGCCCGGACACTCCTGTTTTTAAAACCATCAGATCTCATGAGACTCATTCACTATCATGAGAACAGCACAGGAAAGACCTGCCCCTGTAATTCAATCACCTCCCACCAGGTTCCTCCCATGACACACGGGAATTGTTGGAGTTACCATTCAAGATGAGATATGGATGGAGACACAGCCAAACCATATCAGCCTACATTGGCCTCTCTAGTCTTAATATTTCAGTCTCATACAATGTATTATTCAGTTATATCCTGCTTATATTTTTCTTTGGTTGTTTCAGAAATGTAGTCTTTCCCTTTAGATTTCAAGCTTTTTGAGATCTGGGACCCTCTTTTCTATTTCTTCCATAGCCTCCAAATTATCTTTCAAAGCTCTGGCCCATACTATGTGCTTGATAAAATTTTGATTATTTATTTATTGTAATAATCCTCATTAAGAAACTATAACTACAATAGGATAGGTAAGGGATTTGGGCAGTGATTCTGTCCAAATAAAGAAATAAAGACATGACAGGGTTATTTATTGATTAGTACAATTTAAACAAAAAGGGCACAGTTAAAGATTGCTTAATAGCACTTAATGCTATCATAATACATAGATTTGAAAATAATTAAACAGATGTTTTTTAAAGAATGTATAGTTATATACTCAGTTTTCAGGTTCTTTTAAATGGCCACACAAATAAAAGTATCAGTAAAGCATACAAAATAAATACTATGAATAACTTAATTCCTAGAGAGTTATTTGTGGCCATTCTAAGTGTTTCTGAGGAGAGGAGATTATCAAGGTGTGATTTGATATCCTGCTTAAAATATATCCACTAAAGGGTTTCAGTTTCAATATATTATCAAAGTAGACTACATAAACTTGCAGAATTAAAGTTCATTACTATCCTGGGAAACAAGATGTGGAACTAAAGGAAAATGAAAAATAAAGGTATCTTGATGTTATTACTAGGTGCATAACGGCCAGATAGAATCTCATTTTGTTGCAGTGAGTGCTTTTAAATTTATTCACATCAGAGAAAAATTTAGCTGTATCAAGATATATGTATACTAAAAACAGTAGTCTATCCATTACAGTTTATAATGCAGAATATTGTCTATTGTAGATATATACACAGTTGCATATATATAGTTGTGATACATAGTTGTAAAATTCTAGTAATACAGGAAATTGATCAAGATATGTTTAAAAAAAGGTGACTGAACTGTATTACCTTGACCTAGCTATGTTCCTCATCAACTACAAGTTGATCAACTTTTGGTTGTAGTTTTGAATCAACTACAACCTAAGTCTTTATATCCTGAACTCTTCAGTTTAGTGACTTTCTAAAATGTTTACTTTTTATTTTATTTTATTTTTTTGAGACAGATTCTCGCTCTGTCACGCAGGCTGGAGTGCACTGGCATGACCCTGGCTCATTGCAAGCTCCGCCTCCTGGGTTCAAGTGATTCTCCTGCCTCAGCATCCCACGTAGCTGGGATTACAGGTGCCTGCCACCATTCCTGACTAATTTTTGAATTTTTAGTAGAGACGGAGTTTCACCCTTTGGCCAGGCTGGTCTCGAACTCCTGACCTAAATTGATATGCCTGCCTTGGCCTCCCAAAGTGCTGAGATTAGAGATGTAAGCCACTGAGTCTGGCCTGAAATGTTTGTTTTAGATTTAAATAAAGAACATCACAAATGCACCTCCTAAAAGGGACAGTAACATATCTCAGTTGACAACTGCTCACACTGATCTTAAAAGGTAACTGGAACTGAGAAAAGGATACTGATAAGGACTCCTTCTAAAAAGATAAGAAAACTATATTTGCAAAACTACTAATCTCATCTTCCCAACTACAACATATTATTGCCCAAATTTCTTAGAACTAATAAAAAATGCTTATATATCTCAAGCTGATCATATAATCAAGCTCCATGTATTTTGGATCTTACAGGTTCTTAAAATCAAAATGCAATAATCTAGGGGTGAAAAGTAAGCAAAATTGTAATTATTGTGCTACAAAAATTATAAGCATTTTAAGGCTACGCTATACGATTTAATATTTCAAGTGTGTCATCTAAGAATTCTTATTTAGGTCTTAATAATTGCAAAAGTCATAGTGGGAATCAGAGAGTTCTTGAGAGCAAAAAAAAAGAAAAAAACTCCACAAAAGTCTACATAGTACAGAAATCTCAGAAGTTGGCTTTACATTGAAGGGCTATAAATATTCATGCTATTGTTGTCTTAAACAGAGATGATGAGTCTTTTGGTTCATGGACAATATAGTTACATTTAGGGTATATATCCTGGCTTAATTAGGTGTTACAATTAAAAATGAAACATTATATTGTATATGGACTCAACCAGCTAGAAGACTTTCCCTATAATAACCGGATTGGTCAGAGGGAGAGGGCAGGGGTTGCCTATTATTTGCCTGCTACTTTATTTTTGGTATTAGGTGCTGATGAAGAAATACAGATTTGATTCCTTCTATACAGAATCTTGGATTCCCTGACACTCTTCCAGATCTCATCACAGGTCTCTAGGCATATCTTTTCAGTATGCTTCTCTATTGTCTACTCAGAGGTAAAACAGTATTGTTTCCTGGAATAATTCCTTGGCCCTCTTCTTATTTAACTCTACAGAGGTTGAAAGGGTTATTCGCAATCACAGCTTCCATTATTAAAAATAAGCTGAAAACTGCCAAATCTGTATCTCTAGGTGGGGCCTCCTCTCACTTAGTTCACTTGAGAACTGCTTCTCTCTATCTTGCCCCCACTCTTGCCATGTGACATGCCAGTTCTCCATCATCTTCTGCCGTGATTGGAAGCTTCCTGAGGCCCTCAGCAGGAACAGACACTGGCACCATGCTTCTTGTATGGCATGCAGAATCATGAGCCAATTAAACCTCTTTTCTTTATAAAGCACCCATTCTCATGAATTTCTTTATAGTGACATAAGAATGGACTAACACAGAGGGCAATCCTCTTTACTTAAAATCCATTGATTTGAATATTAATTTCATCCAAAAACACCCTCACAAAAACACCCAGAATGTCTGACCACATATCTGGGCACCACAGCCCTGCCAAGCTGACATATAAAATTAACCATCATAGCCAGCAAGAAACTGAGGCCCTCAGTCCAAAAGGCTACAAGGAACTCAACTGTGCCAGTACCCCACTGAGCTTGAAGGCAGATCCTTCACCTTGAGATGAGACCACAGCCCCTGGACAACACCTTAATTGCAGCTTTTACAAACTCATGTAAAAGCTAGGACTCCTAGCAATGCCATACCTGGACTCCTCACCCACAGAAACAGTGAGATTAATAAATGTATATGGTTTTAAGCTGCTAAATTTGTGGTAATGTGTTACTCAATAATACATAATGAATACAAATATGCTTTAATTTTACCAATCTAAACAAAACAAAAAACACCCTTAATCCCATATCCCTCTAGTTGCTATTGTCCATTTTTCTGCTCCTGTCATTGCAAAACTTCTCCCAAAATGTATCTATTGTCTGTCCTGTTCAATACAGTCATCACTAGTCACACATGACTATTTAAATTTAAATTTAATTAAATTAAAAAGTAAGTTCCTCAGTCACACAAGTCACATTTTAGTGTTCAACAGCCACATATAGCTAATGGTTGCTGTACTGGGCAGTACGGATACACCAAAAACAGATAAGATACAGAATCTATCATCTCATTCTTTTTATCATCCCAGAAACTTCTGTAGATTAATGTTGATCTATTTCTTTAATTTATGACATCCTATTCTCTCTTGAAATACTCTCCAATGGACAGCAGTCTGGCCTGTGACTACCGTGCCAATCTCATCTCTCACCATTCTCCCTCCCTTTGCTGTGCCCCAGCCACTTGCCTTCTTTCTATGCTTGAATAGGTCAAAATATTCCTGAATGTGGTAGACAGAATGATGTTCCCCCAAAGATGTCTACAAGCTAATTCTTGAAACTTGGGATGTTACCTTCCACAGTAAAGTGGGACTTTATAAATGAGATTAAGGTTATAATCTTTGAGATGAGAGATTATTCTTCATTATTTTCTGGGTGAGCCCAATGTATTCACATAAATACTTAAAATTAGAGACACGTTCCTGGCTGCAGTCAGAGGGATAAGCGGTGAAGATACACACAGAGAGATACAAAACTGCTACCGTTAAAAATGGAGGGCCGGGCGCGGTGGCTCACGCCTGTAATCCCAGCACTTTGGGAGGCAGAGGCGGGCGGATCATGAGGTCAGGAGATCGAGACCATCCTGGCTAACGCGGTGAAACCCCGCCTCTACTAAAAATACAAAAAATTAGCCGGGCGTGGTGGCGGGCGCCTGTGGTCCCGGCTACTCGGGAGGCTGAGGCAGGAGAATGGCGTGAACCCGGGAGGCGGAGCTTGCAGTGAGCCGAGGTCGCGCCACTGCACTCCAGCCTGGGCGACAGAGCGAGACTCCGTCTCAAAAAAAAAAAAAAAAAAAATGGAAGAAGCAGGCCATGAGCCAAAAATGTATGTGGTTTCTAGAAACGGGGAAAGACAAGACAATGGGTTCTCCTGTAGAGCCTCCAGAACACAGCCCTACTGACATTTTGATGTTTGCTAGGTGAGACCTATATTGAACTTTTATGCCACAGAAGTAAAATATATATTTATGTTAAGTTTGGTAAATTTATGTTGTTTTGAGGCACTAAGTCTGTGGTAATTTGCTACTGTAGCAATTGAAAATGAACACACTGAATCAGGGTCTGTGGGAAGCTGAATAGTAGCCCTCCTCCCCCATGTCTGTGTTGTAATTTCCAGAACCTGTGAATATTACCTTATGTGACAAAAAGGACTTTAGGGATGTGATTAGCTTAAAGATCTTGAGACAGGGAGAGAGAATCATGAATTAGCCAGGTGGGCCCAATGTAATCACAATGGTCCTTACAAGAGAAAGGAAGGAGATCACAGTAAGAAGGTGATGTGCGAATAAAGCAGAAATTGGGAGTGATGTAGTCACAAGTTTAGGAATGCTGAAAGCCTCTAGGAGCTGGATGGGACAAGGAAACCACTAAGTGTGTACTACTTTGTTTCACCTTTAACAAAACACTAATAGAGGGTCTTTGCAGATCCTTCCAAGAATGTTCTCCTCAAAATTCACGGTTTTCTCCTTTACTATATTCAATTCTCTGCTCAATATTACTTTTCTAGAGATTTTTTCCTTGGCTTCTTTAACTAGGATATAATCATTCTAGAATCTTCCCAACAGTCCTATAAAGATATGCCAATAGTACAAGTATTGAGAAACAATATTTTATAATCTTCATAAAAGTTGTGATTATCTGAAATTATCTAATTTGTAAATGTTTATTGTTTTCTTTCCCCACCCCAAGCATAAGCTCTATGCTCATAGTAAGAGTTCAGAAAGTGTTTGTCAGTGAAGTTAATTAATACTTTGTCATACATGCTGCAAGTATTTTTCTGGTTTGGCAATATTACTTGTGGAGCAGTTACATTTTAAAGTTGTTAAGTCTAAAAATAGTTTTGTTTTAAGGTCTTTGCCTATCAAAGAAAGTGATTATTCATCTATATTTTCATTTTTTAATTTCTCTCTCCAAATACCTAACCAATGCTTCTTCACCAGTTATTTAGCAATCTATTCTCTCCTTATTCATATGAAATACCACTATTAGAAATTAAGTATTTATATATATTTAAGTATGCTTTTGAGCTTGCTATTCAGTCTCATTAGTTTCTATCCATTTACCAATAACATGCTGTTTTAATTATTATAGCTTTATACTATGTTTTATTATTAAGAACTATAAACTCCATCTCTTAATTCTTTTTTCAAACATTCATCATCTAGTTTTACCAAGAACATCCCATGAAATTTTGACTACGAATTTCAGACAAATCCAAACCAAAATAAACAAAATACAGCAACTTAAAGAAAAATGCTGGTTTCACACATGTATACTTACCAACAAACTCATTAAGTTTTATATATATATATATATAATACATACTTTTTTTGTATATCAATCATACCTTAATAAAGTGTTGTTTTTTTTTTTTAATGCTGGGCATGTGGTTTGGAACTACACTAATTTTCAAATTATTGTGAAAGGAATTAATTTCTTTCCAAAATGAATTACAAAGTAATATTGAATTCCCCCCATTTAGGACCATCATGTTTTTTCATCTAATCAAGATGCCCATAGTTATGTCCTTTGGTTATGTTTTCCATCGTTTACTCTTCATTCAGACGTCCTACACTATAGCTGATAACACTATTAAATAATCTGTAAGTAGAAATATAAATGTAAGTGCCTACTCAGTCTTTTATTATTCTTTTTTTATCCCTTGGTCGTATCAAAACAATTATAGTATATGGGAACCTTAGAAATCTCTACGTTAGAATCCCAGTATTGACCTCAATTTATAGTGGGATCCTGAATAAACAACTGTAACCTCTGTATTCAAAGTAATGATTTATCCCATAGGAGACTTGTGAACAATATCTAAAGATGACTGGTGAAGGGTTTTGCAAATAAACCACAACAAAAATAACATCTATGGGTAAAAAAAAACTACACTCTCGAGTCAGTTTAAATTTGATTTGTCTTTTTAAAATGGTTGATTACTTTAACACAGTAGCATTCCAGAGTGCCTATGAAAGAGAAAAATCTAACTGGGGCTGGGATCACTGTTTGCTGTTGCGTAGATTCTGTTGCTCATAGAAACAGTGAGTAAGCAAATACTGGCCAAAAGTTATAATATGATAAAATTATCATGCTATGGGATACTCAGAAACTATAACTTAATAGAACGTAGTGTAAAATATTGTGAGTAATTTTTTTCTCAATTTAAACCAGTTTTCCCTGTTTAGGAACAATTAGGTCTCTCATAACATTCTCCAAAAAAACTAAATTAAAACAGTAATTTTTTTTCCTAACTATAAAATTCTAGCTCCTTCCCATTAAAAAATGTCAGCTATTAAGGCCAATCTCCACCACCCCTCCCCCATGCAAGTCACTGAACTAAATTTATTTGATGAAATAGCATGATTGGTTAAAAGGCATTATTACACTGACAATAAAAATTTGAAAAAAAAATTTTCATAAAAACTTACTGTGTTAACTATAAGGCCATTATTATTTATCATTAATGAATAAACTCAAAACTAGTGATCTTTTGAAAATCATAAAAATAAGTATTTTAAAATTCCTAATTGAAATAAAATATCAAATTTTAGTATGTTAATTTTATGTTTGGTTTCTTATTTCTAAGAAATTTTTCAAACCTTAATTGTCTTTCTAAACAATGGATTAAAAATTCTGCCAAATTTTTTCATTCAAAAATATTTATTAAAAATTTTTTTAAACTTTACTTACGATTTAATGCCAAACTTCTAAAAATACATTTCAATTCAAAATATTCCCCTGAAAAACTTGTAATATTTACTTTGCTATATAATCTTATTTACCTAGAGACAAGATAAAAACAAATTATTGGTCTAAAAAACATTTTAAAATCTTCAAAGTGTTTTTAATAAGAAAATTGCCCATAAGATAGTTAACATCTATTAGCATCTTTTTAACATCTATTTTTAATGAGACTGGGAGAAGCTAGGGAGTATGATAGACGGTAACCATGCGTTTAATTGAATTTTCTTGCCAAAAACAAATAATGAAAAGTTAACAATGAGGTAGTTCCAGTTCAGGTAATGGCAAAGTAAGTTGTATTACACTAACCCTTTAAAGATAACAATTATAAACTCTGGACCAAACAAAACAAACAAACAAAAATCAACAGCAAAAACACTATTTCAAGGGACTGGAAAATCACCAAAAGCAGACAGAAACTGGCGGATACTCAAATAGGACTGGATCCATGTTTACATGGCTTTTCCTGAGAGGACACACTCTAGTCCACATATTGAGTGCTAGAGCTTAGGTAGAAACCACACTTACAGGCTTGATGTGCCACACACACACACACACACACACACACACACACACACACACAAATAAATGAAAAATAGGAGACAAAATGTAAGACGGGGTCATTACAGGAAGCTTAAAATTGACACCGTAGAGTTAGAGGAGACAGAATTTTAAAAGACATAAAAGAAAAAAATGTATAAATTAAAAAATGTGTAGACATGAGTCCACTAAGAACCTAGCACACCAGATTAAAAGAAGATTCATATCAAGAGAGAGCATCATTAATTTTTGGAAGACTGGGGAAAAAAAGGAGATTCTAAAAGCTTTCAGAGCAATAAAATAGGTTACAGATAAATGATGATGAATTAGAATGGTGCTGGATTTTTATAACAGTGCTAGATACCAGAAGTCAATGAATTAATGCCTTTAAAATGATAAATACGTATTCAGATAAGAAGCTATTTGAGAATATGTTCCATTAGTGTGACAAAATAAACAAAGAAAAGGTAAGAGATGTGTCTTAGTCTATTCAGGCTCTGATAACCAAATACCTTAGACTGGGTTTTTACAAACAACAGAACTTAACTGCTCACAGTTCTAGGAGCTAGGAAGTCTAAGATCAAGGTGCTAGCACATTTGGCATCTGGAGAGGGCTTGTTCCTCACAGAGGGCACCGTCTTGCTGCATCCACACAGGATGACAGGAGAAACAAAGGGCCAATAGCCTCGCTCAGGCCTCTTTTATAAGAGCACTGATCCCATTCATTAGGACCTGGCCCTCAGTACCGAATCACCTCCCAAGAGCCACACCTCTTAATACCATCCCATTAAGATAAGAAGACTTAAGCTTCAACATATGAATTTGGAGAGACACAAACATTCAAACACTGCAACATTGGGTCAAAAAATATTGGAATTCAGTACAAAAGAAAGAAAAACAATCTTCAAAACAATGGTGAAGGGATTTGTATAGATTACCTCATTTCTTCTGTCCTCCTTCCTTTTCCCTGTGTTAATTTTATATAAAGATTTTTGGTGACAGTTAGTTTAATAAATTAGGCTTTAAGTTACACAACATTTAGATGTTTGGTTTTTGGGAGTGTTTTTCCTGAATTAGAAGATAAATTAATACACCAAGAGTTGGATACTATATATTTATTTATGTGAGTGAGCATGAGAGCACCTTCATTTGAAGAAAAAACAGTTGGATCCTGTTAAGCAGAAGCAGGAAATTGTTATTGCTGTTTCGTATGGAAGTTCAAATATGCAGAGGAGGGTATTAAATATGCTGAGTAGCTGTGGATTGTGCTGGTTATCTTTCAGGCCACAGCAACTATTCTATACTCTGCTCATTAATATCACCTGGTTTTCCCTTCCATTCTGGTAACAGGATACACTAGAGGAGATTACAAAGAAGGATGAGAAAACCAGAGGTTTTCTTCCTGTTTGGGGAAAGGGAGTTGTTTTTATTTTAACATATATCTATCAGCATTGCTTCAACAAGGGCATTTTGCTTCAACTTCCTACTTGTTTTGGCTCTCCCAGAATTGCCATATTGCAAACCTCAAAGATATCGATAGGCAGCAACCCCACTTCAGCAGTCCATACCCTGGCGCTACAGGCACATTTGCTGTATTTCTGACTAAGCACCAACAGCCAAGCACTCCCTTATTCAGAGGTCCAAGTTTGAGCTCCACCAGACATCTCCTGTAAGCTCATTGGTTCTGGTAATGCCAATTTTTTCACTTTTGTTCCCACTGCTTTGGTGTGGTAGCCTCTTCCTGTAATCATTAATCTCTGGCTTACCTGTGTTCCCTTTTGGCTGTTTCAGTTCTCCTGGTAATTCCCTATATTAAATCTTTGTTGAAGTACCTACTCTGGTTTAGTTTCCTGATTGAACCTTGTTTAATATAGAGAGTGAAAGGAGAGCTCAGAAAACAGGCATGCAGATGCTTAAAGACATATCACTCCAAAGTAACAAGGACAGAGAATTACACAATAAATGAATAACGCATAAAAAAGAACTGATGCATTTTATACCATGTCTAAATACCGAGAGAAGACTAATACATCTGTCAGAGAATTTGGATATAATTTAGAGATTGATACACAAAAAACTGATATTTACTTTTTAAAAACTCTAGAATGTTTTTCAAGAAAGGAAATGTTCACTATATACCTCTAATGTTGATAATATTTAAAGAGTCATAATAAAATACTCAATATTAGTACAATTAAAATATAAAAAATTAAGCCATAACTATACTGGAAATTAAGGGAAGATTGAGAAGGTTTGTTAGAGGTGGTAATAAATTAAGAAAATTACTCATCTTCCATAATAAAAAGATAATAGATAATATCTAAAATTGAAAAAAAAAGGAAATGGAACAAGGGAGTTATTTAGAACCTTCGCGATAAATAGAATTCGCAAAAAAAAAAAAAGAAAGTTTAAAGTACAATCAGGGACAGGGAGGGACAGGTACAGGACTGCCAATTTTTCATTATAAGGTTTGTAGAAACTATTTGACTTTTTAAATTATCATGCATACATAACTTTGATAAGATAAAAATTAAAACAAAACAAAAACAAATAGTGTTTGAGATAAGGTAAACTAGTTCTACTTTTAGGTTATTTGCTATGGCTACAGAACATTCACTGTTGATAGAGTAACATCAAAAATGAATATAAAAGTATTCTTTCATAGTCTGGTAACATAGCTCATCAATACTCCAGGCAAGAATAGAATGAATGACCTCTTGAAAAAGCTAATGGTGTCCAGCCAAATATTTTCTAGAAGAACTTCTAAACATTAATTATGCCAAACGCAAAATTATTTTTGGCCAATACATTATAGCAACCTAATGTACAATAATAAAAAAATGCTATTCGGTAGGTTCTTTCTTATTGTTACCAAGAATATAAAGTCAAAGTCACATCTGAAATTAGCAGAAACAATTTTGGGGTTCTCTCAAAGTGGAGAAAGACACTTGATAACTCCCTGTAGATACAGAGTTTGGGGCCTACTTCTGAGCGAGCACTTAAAAATTTGAGCCGCTGAAATGTTTTAATGAGCATAGTCCTAGCTCAGCCTTGTCATTTCATATATTTGGATTTCCTCCAAATCTTAATTCCAGTGTTCCCCACTCTGACTATAACCTTTTACCCTCATATCACTCTTATCTCTGACTTCTATTACAATACTCTCTCCTATACTATGATCATCTGTTTTCTGAAGTCCATTTCTGCCTGCAAAGCTTCTCCATATAATCCAGATTCCATGAAATCCTTCTCCAACCACACTCTTAACAACATCCTCAACCACAATCCCTTTCAATTTAGATCAATATAAACATCTGCCTTCTCATTTCTATAACTGGGCAAAGGAACACTAGCTACTGAAGAAATGATAAAAATTCACTATTATCAGCTGCTTCTCTGAGCAATCTTATTGGTTTTTCCTGGTAAGGCCCTTTAACTATTCCTTGCACCAGATTTTCCAAACCTTCACCACTATTCTTACACTTTTTCTATATTTAGCAGATGACCTTGCCTTCTAATTCAGTAAAAAAATTCCAGATCAAGTATGAACTCTTTCAGATTCCTGACACTTAGACTCTTATCTATATTCTATTAATTAAAGATAATTATGGCCTGCCTTTCTAAATCTTTTTCTCAGAAAATTCATCACCTTATAATCCAGGTTGACCTCCCTAGAGGTCATCTCATGAGTCCCCTGGCCAGAGCTGAGTGGAGCAGGATTAGACTAATCTGACTGTAGAAGAAACAATTTATGATGGGTTGAGCCTATCCAGTTCTCTGTGAATAATGCAAACTGGTAGAGGGTAAGTGCTGGGTGCTGGTGGGTTCTCACAGAGCTGGGGCATAGAAGACATTTTTTTGGCCATGAGAACAATGAAGCAGACAAAGTCAGTCTGCAAACAGAGCCAAGAAGTTAAAGCAGATGCTGGAAAACTAACGACTGTTTACAACGTTGACCCCAGGTATTCACAGCTCTACTTAATCCCACTGGATTCTGTGAAACCCTGCACTTCCATAATATACTTCCCTGGCAAACCCCGCCCCTAGCTTTTTCAAAGATAAACCAAGTATTTTTCCATCACCTTCATGTCTTTGCCTCATATTTAAAAAAGAGAGACATGCTCTTATTACATTGCAGGAATAATTTCTTCAACATTGCTCTAGATAGCATTCGCTCTGACTCTTTAGGGATCCCACTCATTTTTCACATCTTTGTTCGATACATACCTAAGAATATGTTAGGTGTTAGACATTTGAGAAGAGAAATAACAGATAATGTGAAAACACTAAAAATGCTTCTTCTCTTCATGACACATTAACCAGAAGGAGAGATGGATAATTAAATCAGTCATTATATTAAAGCTTGATGGCTGTTACTATGAGAAATGCCAAGTGCTGTAGTAGTACATGGCAGGTCAATCTATTCTAGTGGAGTAAACCGGTATCAACCTGAGACTTGAAGGCTAAATAAGAGCTAGCCACGCAAGGGGAATAAGGAATAGAGAAGGAGTACTTTGGGCAGGAGTACCACATGCAAAGCCTCAGAGGTGACAGTGAATGTTACACATTGGAGTCACTGAAAAATTACAACTGAGAAATAGCGATTGAGAAGGCAAGTAGGAAATGACATGGCTGGAGAAGTAACCCAAGACCAGGTCATGAAAACCACATCAAAAACTCTGATGTCGATTATCCTCTCTCCAGCATTTGCAAACTCTAATACTTTGGTACATTTTTCCTTTGAATGTTTAAGCAAATTCAAATGTTTTGCATTTTAAAAATCTCCCTTAATCCCCCTTTACTACTGCCTTCCTCCTCCCCTTTCTATATTCTCCACTGAAATTCTCTCTACCAATGCCATCAGTGCCCTTTGTTTTCAAAACCAACAGACATGTCACGGTTTTTATTTTGCTTGCACTGGCTTGGCTTCTGACACCATACTTGCCTGGTTTTCATCCTATATCTATCGCATTTGATCAGTCTCCTTTTTGTAGTAGTGTTTTGGTGCCAGCCCTGTGATGGCTGACTACATTCTTATTCTCAACTCCTCTTCTTTCTCCCCATTCTCTTCCTGAGTGATCTCAAGTTTGAGATCATGAGATTTCACCCACCAACAATATGCTGATGAATTTCAAGTCTGTAGCTCTAGTCCAGATCAGTATTCTGACCTTCATATCCATACACTAAGCTTTCTACTAGCTGTCTCCAATTGAATGTCGCAAAAGGTCCTCAAATTTACCATATCGAAAACTAAACGCATCCATTTCCCAAAAAAACCTGCTTTACCCCCAGTAACCGAAACCTCTACCCATCTAGTAACCCAATTTAAAATCTGGAGCATCATCCTTGATTTTGCTTTTCCTTCTTATCTCCCTCATCCATTTAGTCACCAGTTTCTGTCAATTCTATATCTGAAATAGCTCTCCACTCTGTCCCCCTTATCTCAATCTCAATTACAGCTATCTTAGTTCCAATCCCCAAAGCATGCCATTTAGATTACTGTGACAGCCTTCCAACTAGGCTCTCTGACTCTTCTAGTGACTTGTTTCTTTCTCTACATTTATCAGAGTGATATTTTAAGATGTAAATCTGATTATGTCAATCCTGGCTTAAGATTCTAAAGCCTTCCTGGCCCACAAGGCTTCTTGGTCAGAACCTTACCTCTCAAGCTTTATCTCTCACAACTACCCATTTCAAAGCCCATGATCCACTTTTCTGAAACATTTGTAGCCCTCCATTCCAACCTGAATCTTCACGTTCTCTTTTCTTGTTTCTGTACACCACTGAACAAATCTATTTGCTACATAATTAAATCACATCACTCTGACCCTATTAGAATTACTTTTATCCTGGAATTTCAATGAATTGAGTCTCAATATAAAGAAAAGCTACATGCAGAAATGGCTTCATAATTGCTGTATAAAATATTGTTCATCACGTTTCTCAATGCCCTTCATATAATAAGACCCAAGCTCGATATGTTTTTAAAGAATCAAAACCAAAAAAAAAAAAAAAAAGGTATTAAAGCTATTCTGATGAACAAACTGATAGTGTTACTGCTTTACTACCTAACAGAGCTTGGGAGCAACGTAATCAATTCTCCTTCCGTTAAGTACTAAAAATTAAGGCTTATGCTAAAACTAAAGCTTTTCTGAGTCAGAAGGTTTCCTCTTCCTTATTTCTTGTCCCCATTCTTGTTTTAAAGTCAATGCATTTGCACACATTTGGTCTGCTTTTACTGAAACCTACCTTAAAGGCTGTTTCAAAATAAAGGAACAAAAATCAATTTATAGGTAATGTAGAAAAAACAGCATATTTAGCATTTAAGTCCTTTTACAGAAATAATATTTAAAGGCAATTACAAATAGAAAATTGATAAGGGGGTAATTTGCTGATTTAAAACGTGTCTCATGTCTATCATATATGCTAATATTACTGCTTTATTTATAATATTAAGAAACAAATATTTTAATAATTTTATCTAAAAATAGATTATGATGCAACTTCATTAACTGGTACCAAGAATCATTTCCCAGCTGGGTGTGGTGGCTGATGTCTGTAATCCTAGCACTTTGGAAGGCTGAGGCGGGCAGATGTTTTGAGCTCAGAAGTTTGAGACCAGCCTGGCCAACATGGCGAAACCCCAACACTTTAAAAAACAGGAAAATTAGCCAGGTGTGCTGGCGTGCCCCTGTAGTCCCAGCTACTCAGAAGGCTGAGGTGGGAGTATCACTTGAGGCTGAAAGTGGAGGCTGCAGTGAGCCAAGATCGTGCCACTGCACTCCAGCCTGGGTGACAGAGTGAGACCTTGTCAAAAAAAAAAAAAATTCCAATACTTTATATGCCTATTGTATCTTAAAATTACTTCTAAATACATATATCTTTGCAAATTAGCCCAGGAAAGGGAGGCATTGTGTCACAAAACATGTCCCTAGAAAGTAACTACCACATACTTAACCTTCCTTCTTAAGAAAGTACAGATAAGCCTTCCACGGCCTCTACCCTGCACCTTGCTCAATCTTTAAAATTTTATTTTTATTTTTAATTTTTATGGGTACATAAGAGGTGGCACCTTCATCTGTCATCAAGTATTCACAACAATTTTCACTAAAATTACTTTGACTATTTTTTTACTTTATGTATTTTCTGTCTAACCATCTACCCACAATCAGCAAGTCCCATGAAAGATATTTAACTTCTTTATCAGCATATCCTTAGCACCCAAAAAGTATTTGAAGGTTGATAAAAGAGTAAATGAATTATGTCTAAGTAACAACCATAACAAACATTGGCCAAAGGTTTCTAATGTTTAGTATAGATTATAACTTACGCTAATCAATAATCAAGATACGGGTAGCTATTACTGACATAATTAATGTGATTTTATCTTATTTTTTAAATCATTATTATTATTATTATTATTTTATATAGACAGGGTCTCACTCTGTCACCCAGGCTGGAATGCAGTGGTGGAATCATAGCTCACTGTAATCTTGAACTCCTGGTCTCATTATGTTGCCCAAGCTGGTTTCAAACTCCTGGCCTCAGCCGGGCAATGGTGGCTCACGCCTATAATCCTAGCACTTTGGGAGGCCAAGGCAGGCAGATCACCTGAGATCAGGAGTTCGAGACCAGCCTGGCCAACACGGCAAAACACCGTCTCTACTCAAAATACAAAAATTAATCAGGCATGGTGGTGCATGCCTGTAGTCCCAGCTACTTAGGAGGATAAGGCAGGAGAATCGATTGAACCCAGGAGGTGGAGGTTGCAGTAAGCCGAGATGACACCACTGCACTTCAGTGTGGGCGACAGACCAAGAATGTCTCAAAAAAAAACAAAAACAAAAAATCAAACTCCTGGCCCTCAAGTAATCCTCCCACCTTGGCCTCCCAAAGTGCTGGGATTACAGGTGTGAGCCACGGCATCCAGTCTCCAATTTTAATTAGCAGCATTTACTATGGTCAAAATAACTTGAATTACTAATAGTTTATTTACAAAAGTTTACTAATAACTCTTATTCATTCATTCATGTTGTCACTTTTTAAATACATATTTTTAAAAATTTTTTCCAGATATTCCTATTATGGGATGTAAAGGTCTTTATCATTTTAGTTTCAATAGCATTGAATATAAGGAGCTATAACTGGAATGAGATACAAGAAAAGTTTAAAAATTATACCATAATGTATTCTACTACCACTACCACCAGGTAACATTTACTACTAAATAACATTTACTAAGTACTTACTATGTTTCATTCATTATGTCAGTTAATACAGAAGTTTCAGGAGGGAGTTAATAGTAGTAAGTTCAGTTTTCAAACTCTGAATCTAAGACTAAACTAATATAAGGAATATATGAGGTGTACTCAATAAGCTTCTGTAGAATGCTACAAGAAAACTTGAAATTCAATTGAACATTCTTTCTTTAGTTCCTACCATGTATGTGAACAAGGCAGTCTACATTATAGAACGATTAATCAGACTATCTGCTTTATATAAATGAAAAGAGAGTAGTAGTATAAGGCCTACAATGCTAATATATTGATTTTCATAAAAATTAATACAAACTATGATTATAATACCACACCATGAATTTTTAACTTTTAAAAGCTCTAACTACATATGTAGCCAGACAAAACTGTTGAACTATTGCAGTACTAAAATTACTGTTTGCAATGAAATTATGTTACTGTATGAAATACCAACTGTTGTGTGGTAACTATGTAAATAAGTCATGTTACATAGAACAGTGCCTTGGTGTTAGCAAATTTTAAAACCAGAAACATAGTTTCAGTTAAGTCCAAAAGAAATCAACTGTTGTGCATTACTCCAGTTCCACTTCAGCGAATTGTTTTTCAAAAAGCAATCTCAAATGAGAACACTTATCCATGGCCAAAAAATGTTCAAATAGTACAGCAGTTACTGTATTTTGACAATTTAGTAACCACATTTCATTCAATGGAGTGCTAAAGTATAAATTCCTAAAACTAAAGAAGCAGTGGAAGGGAAAGGATTACTCTGACAATATAGTCTATATTAAGATACATAGTTATATGAGAAGTGATATCCATAGAGAAACAGTATCAGATACAAAACGACTCTTCAAAAAAAATTTTTAAAGATTTTTCTTTGATTGTATCACTCAAAAGGCCAGATCAAAGATTTATGTTCAATTATGAGAAATGCTTTGGCACTTATAGCCATGGTTAAAAATAAATTAACTAGGAAAAGGCATTCCCCTTAATAAACCAGTTCACAAAACTACAGAATATGCATTCTTAAAAATTAGTATAATTTTATAAATCAGTGTTTGGCTATAAGTTGAAGATGACACCATGATGCCTGGTGTGCCTGTCACAGTCAAAGCCCCTTCTTAGCACGGTAGCTCCCACAGGTTCATTTAATTTTTAAACCGAGTAAACATGTACAAGTTCATGGTAAGTTTTTAGAAGTCCAGGTTTTGGATAAATAAATTTGACACCCAGGTATTGCTAAATTGGATAAACACACAAGAAAAAGAAAATCACAGAAAGACTGAGTATAAAGGTAGCTGACTGCTTCTTAAGAGACTTGTTCTAAACTCTTCCCAAAGGGATTCTAAGTACTAAGTAACAGCAATTGTCACATTCCATGTCCCCTTAGAATTAACAATCAAGTGGTGATTTTAGGGAAACTACAGAAGGCAGTTCCTAGTTAGGTTGTTCTCAACTGGACAGATCTAATATTCTAGTTCACTACATATTAGTCCTATAGGAACTAGATGCCAGGTGTGACTGGAGGCCAAAAGTGGCTATATTCCATTCTGTCCTTACCTTCCCCTGACTAACATACTCTGATATGTATGAATATTTCTAATACATTTCCATCTTCAATGGTCACTGGTGATCTCTTCTTTATGATTTTAGAAAATCTAACTTGACTATACAATCTAGAAAGACTTCTTGAAGTTGAATATCTGGAACAGTTCCCTCAAAAGCAACTTCCTAAAGCAACACCCTTTCCCCTGTGTAGTAACACTCAGTTAAGCAGGCAAGAGATTTATAAAGAAGTAACTTATATAGTATGAGAAATGTTATAAAAGAGTATTCATTAATACCGTGTTTTTTCACAAGTATAGCAATCTCAGAGTAGATGAACAAATTTGGGGGATAATAGTAGCAGCGTAAAACATTAATCAAAATGTCAACATATAGGAACATAATCAGACTCCCAACATCAAGACTGGCAATGGCTAGTATTTCAGCTTTATTGAATCTGTGGTTATATCCTAAGGATAGCTCATTTCCCAAATTCCCCTACAGTGCCCTGGGCATACTCTAGGTAATGCAAGAGAAAGATGTAAAGAAAATAAGAATGACTTTTATTCATGTTTTTTTCATAAACATGGATTTCATATTATAAATAACAAAATAAAGAAATCCTGGAACAATATCTGAAAATAAAACCAGAGACTATAACAAACAGTGACTGTTGTTAGAACACAAGTGCAAATATTTTCTTGTAGACAACTGATGTCATCACTAAGAACAGCCACTGAAAAAAGGAAGAGTCCAGAATGTTTTGAATTTGTGAGACACAACACAAAAACAGGATCACAGAAAGAACTTGTTCACAATTTAACAGAGAGGAAAGAGAGCAATGATGCAAATTTTTCCATTGTTGTTGTCTCATCAGTGAGTAACCTAGAGGAACCACCCTGTCTTGAATTAAATGATTTCCTCTCATTGCCAAAAGCAATCTATGATTCTTTTTAACATGAGTAGCTACTTCTAATTTCATGAAAAAATACTTTTGTGACATATTGAATAAAGACATGTATTTTCTTATACTTTAATGTGACATGTCTGAAAAATAGAATTAAAGTCTGCAGAGGAAACACCATACTCAAAATCTAACAGAACAAAGTAAATACACAGAGCACTATAAACTTCATCCTTCTAGATTTATAGTTTAATAATCCCATTTACATTTTTATGTGTTAATTCAATTATAAACAGAGAGAACTACAGTGGAAATTCTATTAATCATCTGCATTAAATCTTCCAATAACCAAACCTATTATTCTCAAAAAGACCTTAAAGATTCACAGTTTAAAATGGTCTTTAGGGACAAGCAATGGTTAGAAGGCTTGTTTGGAAAAGTTATAAATATTAACTGATCGATGGATGTCAACAGAAAGCTTTTCAATATCTTGCAAAAGAAGGATCCAGAGCCAACTGGAAGCCCTATTTTCTCTCAGTGTAGTTCAGAAGACTGAACATATAAACACTGACAGGGAAGTCCCAATTCCCAAACTCCTATGAAAGAATGAAAGGATCAAGACACTGAAAATAATGAAGGTTCTCCACCACCCACTGTACCATCATAGTACTACTATGTATTGTCCTTTGCAAATCAAAATAATTCTATTGATTCATTTGACAGAAAACAACATTTTAAGATTTTTCAATAGTGCTAGAAAGTAAAAACATATTTTGTCCATATTGCCTTTTGACCAATTATATGGACACATAAAATCAATACGTCAGTGAAAGTAAAATTAGTACTATTCAAATCAATAGTATGTGTTAGAAATCATGCTAGAGGCTTAGCATGAATGCATAAATAAAGCATACTTTCTGTCCTTGTGAAAATTATAATCTGGCAGGAGAAACTGAAATGCAATCATGTAACCAAAACAACAATTTGAAAAGAGTTGATGGGATAAAGTTAGAAAAAAATCATGAATGCTAGGCTAAGGCATTTGGCCTTTATTTTCCAGGCTAGGGCTTACAAAGTCAAGTATCTTCAGAGGACAGGTAGGTACGGCAAATGAGTCAAGTTGATGGAATGGCAAAATACAGAGAGCATTTCCCATCTTCAGGGCAGCTATTAGGTAGTGGTAGTAGATTGTTATCTTTTGGAATTGTGTGCCAGTATACCCAGATTTCTAATTTTCCAAGAGAAGCCAGAAACTTAGATTTTTTTTTTAAGTGTAAGTTCCCAATTGTAATTGTTGGAAGTTCATTTAAAATGTTTTCTACATGTAAGGCCCAAACACAAAATATCTATAGACTATATTTTGTCCTCTGATAAGGACAACAAGGTAGGACTTCCCCAGTGATTTTTAAGCAGGAGAATAATTGAATTAGATCTGCATTTTAGAAATGCTCCTCTGGTGGTAGAGTAGGCAGGACCAGAGATAAGAAGATCAGTTGTTTGCAAAAGTATCAGCAAGAAAAGATTGTAAACTTAAATCTGGACAAGTGCTGAGAAGTTCACTTGAGTGAAAAGAATTGAGGACTAGGCATTCATGTAAGTTGAGAAGTGGAAGCAAGCAGAGTGGGGAAATTAAAATACAAGAGAAAAGTGGAGTGTAAGAATGGGAATGAGTGCAGGTCTATTAGAGTGAATTTAAGGAAGGATGGGAAAGACCGGCACTGGAGAATTCGGACTTAGAACAAGATAGGGATTTTTCCTTTTCTGAAACTAGAGGAGGAAAAGAATACAGACACATTTAAGATAGAAAAGAAAGTGGAAGAAATATCTACCTAAAAGCTTCTATTATCTTAGTAGTAGCCAAAACTCTAAGATGGCTCTCAAGATTCCCGCCCGCTGGTATATACGCCCTGCCCCGTATAATCCCCCTCCTTTCAGGTGTGAGTGAGAATTGTGGATTTGAGAGATATTCACTCCCATGATTAGGTTAGCTTATATGGCAAAACTGACTTAAATAAAAGGAGATCATTCCAGTTGGGTCTGATCAAATCAAGTGAGCCCTTAAAGGGGACTGGGTTCTTCATGAGGAGTGGGAATTAGACTTGAAGGAACTTGTCTGTTGCTGGCTTTGAATATGGAGGGTACCATAAAATGGCCTCTAGGAGCTGAGAGCAGAGTTAGCTAAGAGGCAGCAAGGAACTGAATGCTGCCAACAATTATGTGAGCTTGGAAGAGAACCGGAGCCCCACATGAAAATGCAGCCCAACTGATACTTTGATTTCAGCCTTGTGAGATCCTGAGCAGAGAACCCAGTTGATGGGGTTGGTAGAACTGTCACAAATGAGTCAAGCTGATTTTTTTTTCCTTTTTAACAGCAAATTTGGTTTCACTCAGTTTTATCCAAATGTCATATAAGGCACAAAATGATTCAGTACAAAGAGAAATAACTACTGGTGTTATATAAAATTTTAAATTACATAGTAAAGGAGTTGGACAGTTACAACTAGGTTTTTTTAGAGTAAGCACCTTTGAACAGACTACAGAAGAAAGCATACAGTTGTAGCAAGCTCACAAGACACAATGTTACTAAGTATGTTATTGGTAGTTAACAAACATGAAAAATGCCATGTCATTCCTGAATCAAATGCCTTCATAAGGTATTCTAGCAATCATAACTGCTATAACCAAGTATATCTTCAAGTTTCTCTATTCTATAGAAAAAATGGCTAAGTTTCTACTAAAACTAAAAAATCACATATGGCAAAAGATTAACATGTAAATCATAAAATTACTTCAGAAAGCATTTCAATAATTAGGGTAGAAATAAAATTTATGAAATAATGATAGTATTATTGCAGTCTGTTAGCATTTAACTGCTTACTCTTTTGAAATCATTCTGTTTACCGTCACACTTACTGTCTGGTTTCCACAGTAATAAACACACAGCCTGTTTATTTTAAATATTCCATCCTAAAATGAAAAGGATTTTTTTTTCTCTCAAAGTCATACTGCACACTAACAAGGATCTCAAGCCAAAAAGAACACAGGAGACCAAATGTGTAAAAGACAAGTAAGACCCACTATGAACATTAGCCAGTCTTTAAATTTAGAGAAGAAAAATGTCAGACTCGAGCTGTTCTAGCTTAGTAAAAGGATGGCCTGGGTTGGCTTACTCTTTGTCTTTTGAGGGGGACAAGCAGCCCATGACATAACGTGTCCATTTTGTTCATTTTATGTTAGTAAGCACAGCACTTGCTTTTTGTTTAATCTTTCAGGTCAACTTTCTTCTCTCAAAGAAAACAAAAAAATGCTTTAGATTAAAACTGACAGTTTACCCTAAATCAAATACTAAAAGAAAATCAATTAAATTCACTCCCATGATGTAGAAATAGAGAAAAATCAAATCTGAAATTGAGTTGTCCAATCAGCATATATTTTAAATAGAACAAGAGTACTTCCTTTAAATTTAGTAAGAAATAAAAGAATCTATAATTTCAAAAGGAAATATAATATTTAAACTTTGGAAAAATGACTATTTTCTAAGAAATTAGAAAATAAATACAAAGTATATTTCTTTAAAAATGGAAGCACAAAATAGATGGAAAATAAGAATGGGGAAAATATTACAAACAATTCAGATTTGGCAAATTTTAACTCTAATTGAAAATGATTGAGCACATCAGATAATCACCCACTTAACCCCACCCACAGCTCCCTTGAATTCATCCCTCCAGGCCCTCTGACCAACCCCTGCTGCAAGAGTCAATTGTATTTTGGTCATCTAGGAGCTCCCATCAGCATCATTCCGGGGATTCTCTTTGTTATACACCCTCTTTCTTAGATCATATGTCATGAGTTGAAAACCTGGTTCATCAATCTTCAATCTTTGCTAAAATATGCATTTAAAGTTATGCTAATTCATTAGCGGCAAGTTCTGACAAGCAGTATTTTGGCTGATGTTCAATTCTAAAAGTTTCATAATCTTTCTTTTAATGTCTTCTTTGGCCCATTAATTTTCTTGTGTTTGTGTTTTTGTGTGCTTGATATTTGTGAGGAAGACAATTTTTTTGTAATTAAGTTACTACAGAAATTTGGACCATATGTTGGTCTCTGGTTGAGAATTCCTTTATGGCCTAGTACATACTTAAATTTTGTCATGTTTTAGTATGCATGAAAAAAATGTACATTCTCTAATTGCTAGAAGAGATCTCTGTCCATCCATCCTTCCTTCCATTATAGTAGTAACCTTGTTAAAATACACTGTACAAATCTATTTTCTCATATGCTTAATATATTGGTTTTTGAGAGAGGCGTTTTTAAAACTTTCAACGTGATTTTGTATTTCTGAATTTCAATTTGTAATTGAGTCCATTGTTGCTTTATGTATTTTGAGGTTACATTGTAAGGTGAATACACATTCTCCAGATTATTTTGTATTTCTACTCATTTGGTCTCCCCTATTCTTAGCACTTATTTCCTTCAAGTGTATTATTGGTACGATAATAAAATTATCTTACTTATATTTTGATCGGTATTTGTCTGGTATGTTATTTTTATCTCTTGCTTTCCAATGTTTACAATCCTTAGGTTTTAGATGTTTCTTATAAACAGCATACAGTTGGATTTTGCTTTTTATAGAATCTAGAATCTTTTAACTGTAGAGTTTATGTTGGCATAATTGATTTAATAATTTTTATCTACCATCATTTTTTGTTTTCCTATTTTCTGCGTTTATTTTCCTTTGTTACATTTAATTATGCTTAATATTCCCTAAAAATCTGCTTAATTACTTCAAATATATTTTATACTCCTTTAAATTTGTCCCATTACTTCATGTTTTATGGTAATAAATCTCCTTTGTCTTGTGGCTGCTGAATATATTAGTCATGTTAATTCATGTGGCTGGAGCTTTTTATTATGAACTTATCTTCAGAGGGGGTATTCTTTCCATAAGATTCTCATCTGTGCAGGCTTTGCCTTAGCTTCTGAATAGTTTAGCATTTGCTTTGCAAGAGTATCAGGAGTTGTCACTATCTCTTATCTTGAGATCCCTGTGATATGAGGACAGTGTAAATTCTGACTCCATTCAAACATGTGCAGAAGTGCATCTCCTCCTCCTCCACCAAACCCATCCCTAATTTCCTTATCTCCTATCACCACACAAGCATTAAAACCCAAGCCCAAGTCCATAGAGTTTATGTATAGACCAAATGACCCCCTGGCCAGTGCAGCATAACTCATGCCCTGGCTTTGAATTATCTTTTCCTTTCTGACCCATGCATATTCTCCCCTTTTCTTTCCTCAGCATTTTTACATACCTGAAATGGGATAGAAGATTACAACACAGATCAGTTCCTTGTACTGTCAGAATCTCATGCAACACAAATCTGATCACTCACATTACTTTCATGAATATCACTGGATACTTATTGAGTGTTCTGCTCATGTGAATGACAAAGAAACGTCACAATCTCTGTCCACTTGGAATTTATAAGTCTACAACAACCATATGAAAAAAAAAAAAGCTCAACATCACTGATCATTAGAGAAATGCAAATCAAAACCATAATGAGGGCTGGGTTCAGTAGCTCATGCCTGTAATCCGAGCACTTTGGGAGGCCAAGGCGCGTGAATCACTTGAGGTGAGGAGTTTGAGACCAGCCTGGCAAACATGGCGAAATACCATCTCTACTAAAAATAGAAAAATTAGCCAGGCATGGTGGTGTGTGCCTGTAATCCCAGCTATTAAGGAGGCTGAGGCAGGAGAATTGTTTGAACCCGGGAGGCAGATGCTGCAGTGAGCCAAGACTGTGTCACCGCACCCCAGTCTGGGTGACAGAGTGAGACTCCGTCTCAAAAAAAAAACAAAAAACCCAAAACCCACAATGAGATACTATCTCGCACCACTCAGAATGGCTATCATTTAAAAGTCAAAAAATAACGGATGCTGGCAAAGTTGAGCAAAAAAACAAATGCTTGGCCAAGCACGGTGGCTCACGCCTGTAATGCCAACTCTTTGGCAGGCCGAGGCAGGCAGATCACCTGAGGCCAGGAGTTCGAGACCAGCCTGGCCAACATGGTGAAACCCTATCTCTACTCAAATTACAAAAAAAAAAAAAAAAAATTAGCTAGGCGTGGTGGCACATGTTTGAAAACCCAGCTGCTTGGGAGGCTGAGGCCTGAGAATCACCTGAATCCAGGAGGTGGAGGCTGCAGTGAGCTGAGATCATACCACGGCACTCCAGCCTGGGCAACAGAGCAAGACTCCATCTCAAAAAAAGAAAAAAAAAAAAACAAACAGGAACACTTATATACTGTTGGTGGGAGGGTAAATTAGTTCAACCACTTTGGAAGACAGTGTGGGGATTCCTCAAAGACGTAAAAACAGAAATACCATTTGACCCAGGAATTCCATTACTAGGTATATACCCAAAGGAATATGAATCTTTCTATTATAAAGACAAATGCACATGTATGTTCATTGCAGCACTATTCACAACTGAAACAATAGCAAAGACATGGAATCAACATAAATGCCCATCAATGATATAATGGATAAGAAAAATGTGGCCGGGTGTGGTGGCTCACACCTGTAATCCCAGCACTTTGGGAGGCCAAGGTGGGTGGATCACTTGAGGTCAGGAGTTCAAGACCAGCCTGGCCAACATGGCGAAACCCCATCTCTACTAAAAATACAAAAAATTAGCCAGGCGTGGTAGCACATGCCTGTAATCCCAGCTGCTTGGGAGGCTGGGGCAGGAGAATTGTTTGGACCCAGGGGGTGGAGGTTGCAGTGAGCCAAGATTGCGTCACTGCACTCCAGCCTGGGAAACAGAGTAAGACTCCATCTCAAAAAAAAAAAAAAAAGAAAGAAAAAAGAAAAGAAAAAGAAAAATGTGGTACATACACACCATGAAATACTACGCAGCCACAAGAATGAGATCATGTCCTTTGCAGGACATGGATGGAAGCAGAGGCCATAATCCTTGGCAAACTAATACAGAAACAGAAAACCAAATACTGTGCATTCTCACTTATAAGTGGAAGCTAAATGATAAGAACACATGGACACGTGGTGGGGGAACAACACACACTGGGGCCTGTTGGAGGATGGAAGGTAGACGGTGGGAGAGGGAGAGGATCAGGAAAAATAAAAATGGGTACTAGGCTTAATACATGGGTGGTGAAATAATCTGTACAACAAAACCCCATAACACAAGTTTACCTATGTAACAAAGCTGCACATGTAACACTGAACTTAAAATAAAAGTTAAAAATAAATAAATAAATGGCCTGAAGATCACTTATCATTCTCCTCAGTAATTTCAACAAGCAATATTACCACTATTCTGGTATTCCAGTCAGATATAAAATTCTCTAGTTCCACAGTATCTTTTTCATAATATTGGAATTGTATCTATAATATATAAATCAATGTCTATTGATTCACCTAATCAGAGACATGTTTATTACTTCAAGACATGCTAAGAATTTTTTTAAAACTTCTTACAGCAGCTATGTTAATTTTATTCTCATAGGTTATGTGTGTTTAGATTTTTTTTTAAAGGGGGAATTATTTCATTATGACCTGTGTCAGAAAAGGTTCACATTTCTTTTCATTTTGAATAGAAAAATTATTACTAATTTTAATGTTTGTTCAAAGCTGTAAAATTTTAGGATGCTATTTATAATGAGATTAAGTCAAATTCCTACCTAAACAGATAATTGTTTCTTTAACATTTAACATTATTAGAAGCTTGAAGAGAAAAATATTTTATTTAAAATAAAATAAACATGTTTAATGCAACACAATCAGAATAAATATAGCATTCATAAAGCAAGTTCATATTTCTAACAGTTCTTATATTGTCAGCTACAACTACTTATAGCTTACTCTTAATTTCTTAAGCTTTTTAACAAAATGAAATCAGTGTGATTCACAGATGTACCCTTACTTAATCTGGGAGAAAATATGAGAGACTGAGAGAAAAAAATTTGGTTAACTTACCATTTTTATTTTCTTCTAGATTTATTAAGGTATAATTGGGAAATAAAAATTGTATACATTTAAGTTGTACAACATGTTTGAGATACATATACACATTGTGAAATAATTACCACAATCAAGCTACTAACATATCAATTACCTCACATTCTCATTTGTGTGTAGTGAGAACATTTAAGATCTCTCTTAGGAAATGTCATGTACACAATACACTATTATTATAGTCACCATGCTGCACAACAGATCTCCAGAACTAAGGGAGCTATTTCTAACAGAAGATAACTTTAATAAACTGTGATACATGCTTAAATTAGGTCCCAAACTGTAAATGTTTAAATTTGTTGTTTTTGATTTTAGTAATGTCTAAAGAGCAACAATTTGGGGACTTTTATAAGGAATGATTTATTGAAAATATTATTATTTAAAAGATGCATAACAAAAATTCCTCTGAGGCACAACTTAAACGTTTGAAATTCACTCATGGGCTGTACTGATAGAATAAATTCATTATATTCTAGAGTTTTTAATTCTATGGTAATTTAAGATAGTGAGAGGCTAAAGATTTATTCAGTTCACTAATTTCTTATATAGATAGCAGAGGTCATGAGGGTAGAGAAGACTTTCTAAGAACTTAGGGTAAGTTTTTAAAATTATCTTTCAAGTTAACATCCAATAGGTTTTTGTTTTATTTTACTTAAAAATCTTAATGCCCTCTACTATAGCAGTTCTTTAAAAATTCTACACACAAGATCTTTGACATGGTGGGTGGATTTTCTAAAACTTTTGCAATTCTCCACATTAATAAAAACAAATCTTTCTCCCAACTCCTAGCATTTTCAAAGCCACACTGCTCTCAAGGGACATGTTTCTGATACAATTTGCTACATCTCAAGCTAAGAGCATTTTCAGTATTCCCTAAAATTGTCTTACTTGATGACCATTTCTCCACAAAGACACAATGTGTTAAACACTTCAAAGTTTATTGTAATGACAAGTACAAAACAAAGCCTCATATTATATGTGGATGAATAGACAACCCGCCCACTTAAGAATCAGTGGTGCAAAATTAAAATTCATAGCTATATACAATTCCAGACAATTCCCTGTCATAGACTCGTAGGAGTTGCTCATCATTTGGATATTAAAGCCATAAATACCAGGAATCTGTTATGATTTAAATGCTTACATGTGGTCTTCTCCCTGAATTTATCTAAATTTTAATGCTTTATTTTGTTTACAGTGCTCTGTCAACAGACATGCAATTTACAGCTATGTGTCCAATAAAATGGTTTCATTAATGAAGCTCAATTCCTAAATTTCCCAATGCTGATGAATAAAGACATATCAATCGACAGTAATCAATCAGTTTGTACAACTATGGGTCAATTTAAAAGAAAGTAACCCTTATTTGGGACCCTTCTCAATTCTCATTTATTCAGAATTATATTTTTTGCAGACTGATAAATGACTGAGAATGACAGTTCTTGAAAATAAGCTGATGCAGGCCAGGCGCAGTGGCTCACACCTGTAATCTCAGCACTTTGGGAGGCCCAGGCAGGCGGCTCACTTGAGGTCAGGAGTTCAAGACCAACCTGGCCAAAATGGTGAAACCCCGTCTTTACTAAAAATACAAAAATTAGCCAGATGTGGTGGCACATGCTTGAAATCCCAGCTATTCATGAGGCTGAGGCAGAATTGCTTGAACTTGGGAGGTGGAGGTTGCAGTGAGCCGAGATCACACCACTGCACTCCAGCCTGGGGGACAGAGCCAGACTCTTCTGTCTCAAAAAAAAAAAAGAAAGAAAGAAAGAAAAAGAAAAAAAAAAGAAAAAGGAAAAAAAAATAAAGCTAATGTAAATATGACTAACACCAGACCTGAGAGACTCCAAAATAGCAGCAGGGACTATGCTCAACAGTCACAGATGTCCACCACATGATGGCTGACATGGTGACCACTAGGGACAAGATGAAAGTCCTCTGTTCCCATCGTATTCATTGTTAGGCGTGAACTGCCATCTGTTCTTTATTTATGTTTCTAGAAACCCACGAACTTTAAGTTTCCAGAAACTCAATAACTGTATTCACATAGAAAAAAATATATTAAAAGCAAAAAGGAGAAAGTTATAAAATGACTCAGTGGTAAACTCTGTGATACATTTCAGTAGATTTATAAGAGTTAATCAAAAGCTTCCACACTTTTCTATCCTTCAGCAATAAGCAAAGCAGTTGAAGAGGCAGTGAGGATTCCACTAAAACTGGTAAACTCCATAAGCCATTATTACACATTGAATTCAAACAGGAATCTGACAATAAGGGAGGAAATAAAATGCATTTCTTTTACTTATCACTCCCCCCAACCCCAATTCACTAATGAATAACTCACTGAAGTTTAATAAGTTTAGTTATTCAGTTAAAAATGACAACAGCAAGCAGGGTAACCAACTTTAAGAGGGCATTAGCATCTTCACTGTGGAAAATAAACGATCTTAAATTTTACATAAGCACTTGACTTCAATAGCTACTCAAATAAGATTGAATAACATTTTATTTTATTTTTTAAAACTAATTAATTTATTTATTTTTGAAACGTTGTCTCGCTCTGTCGCCCAGGCTGGAGTGCAGTGGCTTTATCTCCACTCACTGCAAGCTCTGCCTCCCGGGTTCATGCCACACTCCTGCCTCAGCCTCCCGAGTAGCTGGGACTACAGGCACCCGCCACCACACCTGGCTAATTTTTTTTGTATTTTTAGTAGAGACGGGGTTTCACCATGTTAGCCAGGATGGTCTCAATCTCCTGACCTTGTGACCTGCCTGCCTTGGCCTCCCAAAATGCTGGGATTACAGGAAGATTGAATAACATTTTAAAGGCATATGCCAAACCAGAATTTGAGATAACAATTCCAAAAACTTGCTGCTATCAGCAAATCAAAAGTTCACTGTAGCAAATTCACATGAAATCATAATACAGGTTCAAGGACAAGATAAAAATGTAGCCTACTTATTGAAGTTCCTTATGCTTTTAATAAACAAGACGAACAAATATGTTGATTGAAGGAGAGAACAGTATTTCATGAGTAACTTGCAGCAATCTATTCCTCTATTAGCAACTAATTCTGTTACATCTACAAACAAATGGCCAAATGTAACTAATTTGAATTGAAATGAAACACATAGAAATTGGATATATTAACAAATATTAAAGGATCCCCTAGACTTCAACAATCAGGTATTATTTTACTTATCTACTAAAAGGTAGTGTCTCTATTAAAAGATAAAGATGACTTATATTTAGATTATTCATCTCACAAGAATAAAAAGGGCCGGTCGTGGTGGCTCACACCTGTAATCCTAGCACTTTGGGAGGCCGAGGCCTGTGGATTACCTGAGGTCAGGAGTTCACGAACAGCCTGGCCAACAAGGTGAAACTCTGTCTCTACTAAAAATACGAAAATCAAAACAAAACAAAAAGCATTTAGCCAAGTGTGGTGGTGGGTGCCCATAATCCCAGCTACTTGGGAGGCTGAGGCAGGAGAATTGCTTGAACCCAGGAGGCAGAGGTTGCAGTGAGCCGAAATCACACCACTGCACTCCAGCCTAGGCAACAAGAGCAAAACTCCATCTCAAAAAAAAAAAAAAAATTAAAAGAACTGAAATCACTGTGGCCACTTACTAGCTATGTGCCTTTCACTGCATCAGTTTCCTCATCTGTCAAATGGCAATGACAACATCTACCTCATAGGGTTGCTATTATTAAATAAGCTTGTATTTGCAAAGCACTTGGAATAATTAACTGGCCCACATAAGCACCATATTAAGTGCCTGAAAATGACAAATTTAGAATATTATATGACCAACTTAAAAAATGATTATTTCCAAGTAACCAAATTTAAATTTGGTCTCTTCCTTAAGTGTGAAAAGCTTAAAAGAAGGGGGTGGCGGGGTGGGTAGAGGTCTGCACTATCTCTTGCGGCACTGAGGTGGTACTTGTCTACAAACAACCAAAAGATACATCATAGAAATACATAGAGAAGAAAAGAAGAAACCTTACCCAAAGGCAACTAAAACTAACTTCCTACATGAACATGCTACTTAATTATAATTCTGAAAGAATATTTTCCGAAGTAAGAATAAATTAAGAGCTTCACAGAATGATATTAATAAAAGGTTATCAATCATCCCACGTGGTACACTTGCAGCATCTGCAGAAACACATATATAATCTCATTTTGGAATATAAAACATTTGACACCTTGGAACAAAGAGGCTGTTACCACCAATCCCTAGAACATTTCAAGAAAAATACTAATAAAGAAAGCAGAATTGATGATACTGCTTTCCAAACAGATACTGCACATACAAAATTATAATTAATAATAGATGCATCAAAGAGTTGTGAAATATGATCAATATATTGGATCAGAAATTTGAAAGCTGATTGTTGTACACTCATATGCATAGGTGACTTCAGTTTTTTCCTCTTTATTCCCTCAAATAATTTAATATTCCCTGATTGATATAATTCAAATGGTTTATCCTGTCATTCAAAGTTAACATTTTAAATGGCTCTCAGAAATGTAATTATTTGATAAATTTAATTGTTCTTTAATTTAAGAAAAAGGACAAAATTTGGAAGATAAGATTCAGGGCTATTTCTATTTCTTTTTAAATTTTAAACTCACGGCATATTGAAAAATGAAGAAATATCTAGCAGGGTCTTGAAAACTAAGATCTCTTTTAAATGTTTACATTTAACATTTACTCATTGACAACATTCACTAACATAAAATCCTATGCTTTTATAATCAGAATTTCAGAGGCTCTAAAAATATTCACAGTGCAATATAGGTGATAATGGGACAAATTTTACAGTGGTAAAAGAATGTATTCTTTTATCCTGTCAGGTGTCCATAGACTACAGGTAAAATCTTATTTGGAAATAACACCAAAGTGTCTAAGTTTGAGCCTTTTACAAATGTAAATTTTGCCACCAACAATGTTTCAATGCATTGAGCTAAGAGATTTTGATTCATTATCATGTATTTTAGTTCTGATTATTTATGAGAATTTCTACTTTTCCCATCCTACCCCAGTCCCAAATTTTCACGACTACAGAATAATTCCGATATTTTCCGTATAAGAAGACAGGTCATGTGAAACAAGGTCATGTGAGGCCCCTTGGTTTTTCACCTATCATCAGAACAAAAAGTCTTGTCTTTTACATATACACATACCTTGGTCATACATAACTGTATTATAGTTGTATATTCATCAAATTTCCTAAACATTTCTCCTTTCACTATGCCTATCTGTTTCACTCACATGGCAGTGTTCTGGGGGCATTCATGGATATCATTTAATCGCATGCACTAGCACTCTGGGTCAAACATTCCCATTGCCCCCAAACTTTCTTATGTTCTCCATCAACCCCATCTCAATGACTAACAGTCTTAATAAATTATAAATTCCCTAAAGAAAGGAATTACTGCCTTGCAAATATAATAAAATATAATTTGGAAATATAAGCAGAATTGAAATGAATAATTATTATTTTTTAAAATAATGACAAGATGGAAAAATTTTAATATTTTTGTGAAGTTCCAAACTATCTTACTACCTCAAACCAATGATTGTTTTTATATTTTCCAGGTAGTCCTCTGTTCATTAATCTCAGAATTCTGTAGTTACAAGAATCCCACAAAACTTACACTATAGGTATTTAATTTCCAACACATTTCTTCTCTCAATTTGTATGGCTGAGGAACAGAATAGCTGGGGCTGTTAGTGACGTCAGCTCATAGTAGCACAGTTCAAACACTACTTGAACAAGTAAAGCAATCTGGCAGGAGGTGAAAGAGGAGAATTATAAAAGGAATTAATATAACTATGCCAATTAGAAAAAATAAACATTTTGTATTTTTTTCAATGTTTTTTATATAAGATTAGTTCTTTAGGACTATCATACTATCTATTTCATAACTAAAGAGAAAAAAGCAGTTTCTTACAGTAAAACTGGGCAACATTCCTTTCTGCCTCCCACAATTAAAATTGTTTGCAATTCTTTAGTATAATGTGCAACTGTCTTATGAGAAAAAAATTTAGTATTTATTATGAATCTTGAAAGCCTAACCTCAAATTGTCTTTGTCTATTCATGAATTACTTCCTCCTCACTTTCCTCTTTTGTTTTTCAAAATCCATGATGATTTTACAGTATTTGGCATTCAATAACTGCTATTTATTTAGTGTATATCAGCTAAGTTACATTGATTTATTTTAAAAATATACTCAAAGTATCTTTCATAGGTTGACACTGATCTTACATTAATTAAAGGATTTTATATTGGTCTTGGAATATAGACAATGATTCTTTCACAATATCTACAGAGATCCAATCCCTCTTGTAAACTATTATATGTAGGATAGTTGTTTTCTCAATTTATTAAAAAGAAAACAAGAATTCCTTTTAAATGGAAAAATAACTATTAGATCATCTAATCCATTTGTTGTCTGCACTTCCTCCTAACACAGAAACATAAAAGACCATTACAGAAGATGACGTTATTCGTCCTTTACTTGGTAGAAACGCCATCACCTCACAAAGTTAAAGGTATTGAACGTAACTAGCTTTTTTCAAATTATTTTCAAGAGATAAAATCTCATATAAGCATTAAGATTTAAGGAGTGCTTCCTCATAACAATGAACAAACACTTCCAAATTGCATTTGAGTAAATATTACCCATATAATGTACTACCCATCTGAAGGTGGATTCTTAATAAAAAGCAAGTGGGGAAAACAACAAACCTCAAAATAAGGATAGGCATTTTCAATAACTGAATAACCAAAGTATTTTTTAAACAATTTTTCATTCATACACTAATATTTTGAATTTTATTAAATTAACTTCTCTATCATTTTCCTCTTCCTGGAACTCTTATTAGAGAATAAACTTCCTGGATTGATCATCAAATTTTCTTAACTTTCCTCTTACATTGTTCATCTCTTTTTATTTTAATTTTACTTCCTGGAAGACTGCTTCTGTTTATGTTTTACCATTCTATATTTTTAAAACTTTATTTTAATTTCCAACAACTCTTTTCTTTCTCTGACAGCTCTGTTTTAATAGCATATATTCTATCTTTGCTTTACTGATGCAAGCCTCTTTTGTTTATCTGAAATATTAATTATAAATTACTAAAAGGCTATTCTGTTCTCTCAAGGTCTCTTTTTCTCAAACCTGTTTCATGTTTTTTTTATTTTATTTGATCACTGCGTTTTTATTACAGGATTTCCCCAAATGCCTGGCAAGCCTTGCCTATCCATTCACAATTAAGACTGAGGAACTAAAAAACTGATTATAAACTCTATTTACAGAGTAACAGTTACTCTGGAAACAAACACATGAAGTAACTTTTCAGGCATCCGACAATAGGCAGAACAGAGTAGGGAAGCTTCAGGATAGAGTGGGAAGGATAGAGGATAGTGTGATCACACAGAGACCTTCCACTGAATGACCTCCCTGACTGTCAATATCTGATGGTCTTTCCTCTGGATCAGCTTACTCTTTACTTGGGAGTTATAAGATAGGCTGCTAGAAGACTTGCAACTAAGCAAAGGAAGGGAGCCAGTTCCCTTTTTTAATTATGCAGACTTTCATTTAATCCTCACGTTCTTTGTACAGTCCATCCCTCAATCTTCCTTTACCAGTGTTTAGTATTGTGAATCCTGATTTTTTTTTCTAAAAATGAAAGGAGGGAGAACTAGGTGTACAGCTGCCTGGGTGGTCTAAGTGTCCCTTACAAGCCTTAAACAAATCCTCATGGTTTCAGCACTGTTTTATACGTCCACATTTAGAGGTAACTGGTACTCCCAATTCATGGGGGTTTCTGCTTAGGAATCCATTTGCCTCTCTAGCAACCTCTCCTAAAAGCACCTATACCCTTTCTCCATACCACTTAGTTAGTTACAAATTATGCATCTGCATCTTCCAAAAATGTATGGATATTTATTAGACCCTCTCTACTATTCTTGGCTTTGCAAATTTATGCTTTCTGCCATATTAACAGAAAGTCTCAAGTGAACTATTTAAGGCAATATAAGCCACTTCAAAGATATTCTCCATTTATGCTGGCTAATAGGCCATACACCCAGTTTGTACTCTTCGGCCAAGAAGGGATAGCTCAGTGAAAAAAAATTTGAGACATACTGACTAAATAACCAGAATCTCTGATATTAAAAAATGAATGAAATACGATTATCACAATAAAATGTCCTTTTTTCTTTGTCAATCAGGAAAATTTTATTTTATTTGACTTTCTCTCTCCCCCTCATTATAGGCTTCAAAACTCATTATATCCATATCTTGATATGTTTTCCCAAAACTTCCTTTACAGCTCTCTCTCTAAATAACATATTTCTCCTTCTAGAATTTAAACAGGGTACCAACAAAAAAGCAAAAAAAAAAAAAAATACTTAGGCAAACAGTCACAATTTTATTTCACTTATGGTTCCCAAAATTAACTAAAATAACTGCACACGAATTGTAACCACAAGCAACATTTCCTTAACTACGAAACAAACTACAGTTACCAAACACATATTCATAACTCTTTAAGTAAATTTAGAGTAGTCTCAATATTCAAACAGGGTGGTAGCCAAAGCACAGGAAAATAGCATTTTCAAAAATACAGCAAAGAAAACTCTTTGAATGTAAAGATTTAAATTAAAAAGGGGATGAGAGGTGAGGATTTTTGCTCTGTGACAGAGAACTGGTACCAGGCTTGAGAGTGAGAGTAATATTTATATGACAAATCAACATGTAAAAAGACATTAAGACTCAGTTCATATTGTCTATTTAACGCTAGAGAAAAAAACATCTAAAATAACGATAGGTTTAGACAAAATATCCTAGAAATAACTATTTTTTAAATTATTTTTGAAAGAAATCATTCTTTTAAATACAGTTTTTTTAGGTTTTGTCTTGGTACTGAAATGAATATTGACATTAAACTGGTGTAAATGTTTTAAAATATTCTAAATGCTGAAATTATTCTTTATTATATTCTAATTGTTCTTACAATTTTTAACAGTATTTTAGGTGCATTTTTCAATACAGTGGAAAAATGTGTACACATCATCCAAGTAACTAATAAGTCACACTAGTATAGGCTAGTCTACAATGAATCTTCAAGTGCTGGAATTAAGTCCACTGAGGACAGCGTTCAAGATTCAATCAATATACATTTATTTTATACCTATTATACAACTGTTTCCAATTTCACATCATGTAATACCACATAAAATCAATGCCTGCACATACCTTTTACGCTAGTAAATACTATATGCAGTTGACTGGTATGCATGTAGCAATTAGTAGTTTTGTATATGATTTGCTCAAATGTAAGAACTAAGAACATTCTTCCTAACAGTGACAACTTTTCCCCTTTAGAAATACATCAAAGTTCCTCCTCAAAGAATCTGATGAGTAGTCCTCCAAGGAAGTCTGACCAAGAATCATATACACTCATGATATGAGTGTATTTCTAGTAAGCAAGACTACAACAAACTTTGCTTTGAGTAATTTAAATTTAAAACCAAGAAACAAACTTAATTTTCCAAATGTGATTATTACAATATTAGATATGCTTGTTGAAACAATATCCTTCCTCTTTCTCCTGCCCCAGCCCCAGGACTAAGAATTTTTGTATTAAAGAATAAGTAGAGGAGTAAAGAATTTCCAGACAAGGTAAAAACAGCAGCAAGAACACTGAATAGAAAAATAGTGTGATTTCTGCAGAGAAACTAAAAGCCATACCAGTGTAGTTGGATATAAAAGAATAAGACTGCGAATGATAAGAGATGACAGTGGGATGAAGGCGCAGGCCAGATAATGGAGACTTGAAGGTTGTGTGAAGCTGAACCATATCCTGTAGGTGACTGAAAGGCACCTCGTGGTTACTTTTCAATTTGTCCAATAGGTTTGTCAAGGGTAGATATCAAATCAAAACACGAGAGAAAAAAAAATCCTTCTCTTGGAATTTTGAAATGCTCAAGTTCAATAAAAGAAAGACTATTGCTCTTGATGCCTGGGCCATAATATAACTAAAGACAAAGAAAGCCAAATGGAATAAGAAAGAAAAACCAGAAAGACTCAGGGAAAGAACAAATAGTTAATAATTGTCTACATTTTGGTTCTTGAGTTCCTTAAGATATTCCATGCCTCTTATACAAATTGCATATCCCTTATCTGAAATGCTTGGGACCAGAAGTGCTTCAGATACAGATTCTTTCAGATTTGGGAATATTTGCATTATACCAGTTTAGCATCAGGAATCCAAAAATGAAATCTGAAATGCTCTAATGAACATCTCCTTTGAATTTCATGTTGGTACTCAAAATGTAAGATTTTAAAGCATTTCAAATATTGGATTTTGGTCTTTGAAATGCTCAACTGGCAATACAACCTTTTTTTTCCCTAAGTTAATTCATGATGAGTCTTTGGATGCCTGAGACAAAATAATTCCATATTGACATCTTCACAACAGTTATTTTCTAGGATAAAAAATAAAACCAAAAAATTTCCAAGGGACGTGCATTTGTATCCCCACCAAAGATTCCAAAACTGTAAGTAGCAAAAAGGCCAATTCATATGTATTCAAAATTAGAATGATGGCCTTGGTGGCCAACACTTTCCTTAACTGTATGATAAAGATATATCTGCTTCCAAAAATCCAACTAGCTTTCTCCAGAGTGCACAGCACATTATGAGAGGTAAATGAGGCTGAAGTACCATATATTTCTTCACCCAATAAAAAAGTTGTAAAAATACATATACAATAACACAATTATGTGAATAAAAAGTGTCTTCTACCAGTAACAACATGGTGACAATTAGGTAGAAATAAGAAATTAAACATCTTCCAGACTTAAAGTTTGACAAAAACATGAGTATATAAATCACAAGTTTAAATATGATTATATCTGTTACTAGAAATTCAACATATGAAAATTACTCACAAAAAAATCATTGACATTGAGGAGTGGAGGGAAATTTAAAAATTTACATTCTAACCAGCAATGCATGTGTGATTGTTTTTTGGCATCCTTGCCAGCCTTTGTCATCATCACTATTTTTCATTTTAGTCATTCTGATAGGAAGGTGCGCACTGATGGCTAATGATGCTGAATATATTTCCAATGTGCTTATCTGCCACCTATATATCATCCTTGGTGAAATGGCTGTTCATGTCTTGTGCACATTTTCTAAATCATTTTTTACTGTTACATTTGGAGAATGATTATATATTCTCTAGTATCTGGAATATATAATAACAAGTCTGGCCAACGTGGTGAAACCCTATCTACTAAAATACAAAAATTAGCCGGGCATTGTGGTGGGCACCTGTAATCCCAGCTACTTGGGAGGCTAAGGCATGAGAATTGCTTGAACTCGGGAGGCGGAGGTTGCAGTGAGCCATGATCATGCCACTGCACTCCAGCCTGAGTGACAGAGCAAGACTCTGTCAAAAAAAAAAAAAAGTTTGAATGAACTATTGTTACATGAAACAGCTTGGACAGCTCTCAAGGGAATTATGCTGAGTGAAAAAAAGCCAGTCCTAAAAGATTGAATGCTCTGTGATTCCACTGATAGAACAAAATTCTTGAAATGACAAAATCATAGAAATGGTGAATGGATTAGTGGTTGCCAGGGGTTAGGAATGGGACAACAGGAAGTATTCTTGTGGTCATAGAAACGTATTTGTGACTTTGGTGATAGACACAGGAACCTACATGAGATAAAATCACATCGAATTTAATACATACACAAACAAAAATGAATGCATTTAAAACTGACGAAATAGGATGGGTAGGCTTTATCAATGTCAGTTTTCTGGTTGTGATATTGTACTGTAGATCGACTGCACGACCATTTGGGAAACTGGGTAAAGTACACACAGGATCTCTGTAAATATTACTTCTGTAGCTGCATATGAATCTACAATTATGTCAAAATTTAAAGAGAAATACTTTAAAAAGAACATAGATCTTTCCAAAAACCTTCTTTTAAAGGTCTTTGAAATATATTTGAAGTTCTATTTCTTTTTTTTTTTTTTTTTTTTTGAGACAGGATCTCACTTTGTCGTCCAGGCTGGAGTGCAGTGGCACAATCTTGGCTCACTGCAACCTCTGCCTCCCGGGTTCAAGCAATTCTCCTGCCTCAGCCTCCTGAGTAGCTGGGATTACAGGCACCCGCCACCAAGCCCAGCTAATTTTTGTATTTTTAGTCGAGACAGGGTTTCACCATGTTGGTCAGGCTGAGTCTCGAATCCCTGACCTCGTGATCCACCCGCCTCGGCCTCCCAAAGTGCTGGGATTACAGGCGTGAGCCACCGTGCCAGGCCTGAAGTTCTATTTCAATTATACCTACATATATCATTAAATATTCTTAGGCATGAAGTTTCAATTTAGGAAGAAAACCTTAGTTGCCTAAAAAACCTTAAACACTAATTTAAAAAAGTTTGGCTATATCTTTTTAATTTGACTAATCAGACATCAATATTAAACTATCATTAACAACAATGGAATTAACATTTGTTAATCTTTTATTGCTTAGTAACATTTAATTCAATACTTTAGTTGCTGAGAACTATTACTTCAATTTTGCATTTCTATCACATTAGTCATTAGTTGGTATGTTTTGTAATATGTAGGTTTAAAAAATAATAACTAGTTATGCCAACACTTGGCTAACCATGGTTCCGCTTTGGAGCACTTCTTGGGGCTAAAGTCCCAAGTCTGTAGTGATGTGATGTTTTAGTAGGGGAGGCAATGCATGTAGAAAACATTTTAATGAAGCATAGTATTGAATAATCTCCACTGAACTGAATTTGTATAATAAAAGTTAAACCTTCTTCCACATCAAACTGCACATTTGGTTAATGTTACTATATCCTTTTATCTGATTTTTGCTTCTAGTCAGTTTCAAACTCTTAGTGGTAAGGTTTCGGCAGAAATATATTTGTTGAATATATTAGTGCACACAGAACATTGGTGAGGGCAATGGAAAAATTGTGTTATGGATATTTATTCATTTATTTATTTATTTTTATCCCCAATCCAATATGGCTATTATATTATGGGAACTTAATGAAGATTTTAAATCATTAATATAGGCTCAACTAAACTAAAACCACTTCCATCAGGTTTATAGTAATTCAAGTTTTTTCTGTTGGTCAGCTTTTAAGGCCTGATAAAAAATAATATACTGACAAAAAATCTTTATGAATGGGATTTTCTATGAACCTTTTTGCAAAGGAAAACATAATTTCTTCTGATTCAATACATCAACAGTTCTTCCTTTTTATATGGCACTTTTCAGCAGTACATAAGCCTATTTTACTAGGAGGAAAGCCACCTGCCTAATAAAACTCATTCTGGTTCTTCATCTTATTTCCTCTAGTTGTGACTGTCAGAGACTATAAACTATTCATATAAAAGACTACCCTATGAAGAAAATACTGTCATATTTATGATTTATGTGATTCATGGAGTTCAGAATCTAGTTTTGAAATACTACATTTATTTTTTAACACCAAAATACAACTAATTATTCTATTTCAATTTTATGGAGACATTTGGCATTTTTTGTAACTTTTTCTGTGTCTAAAATGTATATATGAAGCCTTGCTATTTTAAAATGCACAGCTTTATTTTAAATAAATCTTATTTTAAACTTGCACCTGAAAGAAAGAAAAAGAAATTGAGATAGCAAAGGAATCATACCAGAATAAACAATCCATTCACTCCAAAACAAAACAAAACAAAACCCTCATAGGCTATTTTTCTAATAAGGTATCTATCTATCAATTACAATATAAAAAATCCTCTTGACCAGCAAACTATAAATTATACAAGCAAATAATTTCCTGAATAATTACATTTATCTTTATCATGGAGGTAACAATTCAAGCCATAGTAAATCCAATAATTCCTCATGCTGATTTATGGCTGTCATGACAGAACATAGAATAAATTTCAAAAAGGCTAGGATACATTTTTGGAATAAATCACACAGCACACAAGTCCAATAATCTCATTATTCATATTCCATCAACATAAGAACATGTGTGTATATTTATGTTGTACCCTCAGTCATTAGTTAACACCTAGAGAGATCTTCATTGCACCTGTATTCTCTGTGACCATTGAAAGCATCACTTCATCTTTCAGCAAGCTTTTTTTCTTAATTGAGCAGTTAGTTAAGTTATCTGGGAAATACTCAGAACTCCATGTGACCTCTGTTATGCAAACAATATATCATCAGACTACACAGTTACACTGCCATTCAAACTGTGATCTAGCAAATAATGCTTAGGAAGCTTTTAACATTAAGAAGCTTCCCCCAAAAAAGGAATACACTGACTTCATTATGAGACACTGCTACGAATGTGTGCAATTCAAGGATATCCAATAAAATGATATCAGAGTAACAAGTGCATTTCTTATATTCTCAAAAATCTCATTGTAATGGCAAAACACAGACAATACAAAAAATATTTTATGAAGAGTGCTGGTATTACACATGAAGCTATTTAGTCACATTTAAAATAATAAGAGGCTTGCTATACCAAAAGTTAGGAAAGTATTATAATTTAGCCACGAATAGAAGATTAAATTTAATTATCAGGTTTTAAAATTTGTTTCAAAGGATGTTCTTCCTGCTTTTATTATTCTATTATTTTTTAAATACAGAATCTCAGAAGCTTGGGCACTTGGAAAAATTCTCTTCTAAGTAATCACTTACTTAGATCAAGCACTGAGTCACAGAACTGGTGATGATATTTGTTTAGGTGGTAGTAGTTTAGCCAGCCAAACCTCAGTAATCTCTAACTGGACTCTCTGTGGGTGGTCCACTTTGGTTTTGCAGCTGGGTTGTAACAGAGTATACCAACCAAATTGTTATCTTAATAGGGAGAAACAACATGTTCTGCTATCACTACCCAAAACCCTAAAAAATTGCTATCATATAGAATATTTACAACCTGCCAGATAGCAGCTTAGCAGGTTAGCATATTGGTACATTTATAAATCAGTGTTAACACCACCATCTTATTTTGATGAAATACTACATTGAGTTGAACTAAATATTTCAAAATATTGAATCACACAGAAATGCAACTTCTTTGATCACTGCTTCAAAAGACAAAAAGAAAAGCAATAATTATAATTAACAACACTAGAAAATTTGGAGTTTTTGTTGTATTGAATGAGTTATTCATTTTGCTTTAAAGCTGCCTTTAATTATTATCCTATTAAAGTATAGCATATTACAAAAGTATAACACATAATGAAATATCCATTACATATATATCCTGTATCTCAAAAAAAAAACCTAAATATTGTAGACCAGAAGATAATGCAACACACTTCAATGTCATTCAGCCATTTGAAGAATACCTGCTGAATCTTAGTAACTCTATAGAAAAACAGGCCAAAGTAAGCTCTGCGAACAGCAGAATACCATGTAGAGAGACTTTTCTCACATTTCAAGATCCAACAAAAAGAATCATCAGTGGATTGATCCAAATCTATGCGTGGCTACAGATACCATTAGGAAATGAAAATATAAATCAATATAGTCATATTACCATGTCAATTATGATTTATTTGATAATTAAAGCAAAATGCACTATGTTTCAGTATTCTGATTCAATAACAAAGGTCTTGCTTTGGATAGTGCTATTCACTGTACAATGTTGCAAAAATAATATAGCATAAGCTCTTCTTTTTGCTGGTAGTTTTAAATTCTTACAGTTTGTTAAACACTGTTACAAAAAATGTATTAATTTTGAGTACATTTGATACAATCTCTTTACTATTTTTTATTTCTTCATTGTTATTATTATATCTTCATTATAACAGTATTACTTTATTATTATTATTATTATCATTATTGATGTCCTAAGTAAGCTATCTATTCCAGGATTCAACCACTGATACCTTCACCCCTCACAAACTCAAGGGAAGCACCTAATACAATGCATAACATAAATTGAGCACTTAATCATTGTTTTTAAAAATGTAAAGTTATATAAACGAGGATTTAAAAACGTATTTTATATTCTCACCTATTGAAAATTGAAGACGGAAGCTATAAATGGATAGTGAATGATGTCATATCTGGTTCACAAACTCAGAATTACATCATGTATTCTAGTGAGCAATGGAAGTAATCTCAGAGTACTCAAAGAATAACTCTCCCAGAAAAGTCCACCAAGTACAGTTGATACAGGGGAGCAAAACTGAGTTGATTCATCCCCTCATTTCATAAACAATTTAACTGAAGAGTAACAGTTAAGTCAAAAATGTTGAAGGTCACAAAGCCACTAATTGGCCCTATGTTAAAGTATCAAATTATCTAAAAAACAGAAAGAAGGAACTACAAAGAAGATTAAGATGAATACAATAACCACCAAAACTGCAGCTATATTTTATCAAGCACCTACTGTGTATCAGATACAATGCAAAACAATTTTATATACTAATCTCATTTTAAATTCACAACTGCCATATTTAATAGGTGCTAGCTATCCATGCTTTTTAATCAATTAATTTTTAATTGATAAATTAAAACTGATTAAAGTTGATGAATTTATCGGTTGTTAGTTGATAGATTTATCACATATAAGATGACGTCCAGCACTTTGGGAGGCCGAGGAGGGCGAATCACCTGAGACCGGGAGTTCGAGAACAGCCTGGTCAACATGGTGAAACCCCATCTCTATTAATAATACAAAAATTAGCTGGGCATAGTGGCATGTGTCTGTAATCCCAGCTAAGGAGGCCGAGACACGAGAATCACTTGAACCTGGGAGGCAGAGATTGCAGTGAGCCAAGATCGTGCCACTGCACCCCAGCCTGGGCAACAGAGTTAAACTGTGTGTCAAAAAAAAAAAAAAGAAAAGAAATATATATACATTGCGCAATGGCTAAATTGAGCTAATTAACATATGCATTACTTCACATACTTATGATTTTTTGTGGTGACAACACTTTAAAATCTACTCTTAGTGATTTTCAAGAATACAGTACATGTTATTTCTATAGTCCCTGTGTTATACAACAGATCCCTTGAATTTATTTCTCCTAATTGAAATTGTGTATCCTTTGACCAAAATTTCTTCAAGCACCTTCTACCCCACCCCCAACCCCAGGTAACCATCATTCTACTCTCTGCTTCCATGAGTTCAACTTTTTTAGATTCCACATATAAGTGAAATCATATAGTATTTGTCTTTCAGTGCCTGGCTTATTTCACTTAACATAATATCCTCCAGGTTTATCCATGTTACCACAAGTGACAGTATTTCCTTGTGTTTTAAGGCTGAATAGTATACTATTTTGTAGATCTATCACATTTTCCTTCTCCATTCATCTACTGATGGATACCCGGGTTGATTCTTTCCTGTGTGTATGGAGTTTTTGTTTGTTTCTTAGAGACAAAGCCTCGCTATGTTGCCCAGGCTGGACTTGAACTCCTGGGTTCAAGAGACCCTCCCACCTCAGCTTCCCAAATAGCTAGGACTACAGGTGTCCATCACCACACCCCATGGATTCTACCCACATTTTTAAAACACGATGATACTAAGGTTCAGATAAGCTTGAGAAGTTGTTAAAGATCACAGAGCAAGTATTTGTCAAAGGCCACAGAACGAGTGTAATTTGTGGCCAGAATTAAAAGTCAGGACCATCTGACTTCAGATTCAGTATGATTAACTGCTTTGCTTAATATTCTCTCTTCCAGCAAATATCTTTGATACTTTGTTTTCTTACAGTAACATTTCACAGTGGACTAAATTAAATCCTTTTGATTTTTCCTGTGGACAAAATCACAAAGAAAACCTAATCGCCTTAAATTCAGGCTTTCTGGACTCGGGGAAAAAGAAAACATACAGAAAAATAAGAGAAATAATGGAAAACATTAACTTTAATTGTCACTTCTGATAGTTGACATTTGTTTGTGGGTGTGTCACTTTTTAGTAAGGTATAGTAAAAGTAGAAGTAATGCTAATATTTGCTGAACGTCTTCTATTTGCCAGGCACTATGCTTGGTGCTTGCAATACCGTGACAAATGAGAGAGCTCCTGTCCCTGCTCTCACAGAATTTCACCACACAAAAATGAATAATATATGATTTCTTACTTTCCAGAAAGATTTTTATCATCAATTTTAAGCAATTTTGAGAAATCTATTTTCTCTGTCCAATTCAGACATTCATATTAATAATGTAAAACCTAAAGCGCTTTTCTGCTAATGACCCCACAACCAAATAGCCACTGGGAAAGGTAAGTATGAGATCATACAAACTGTCCATTTGCCAATGCATGACCTGGGCTTATTACTTGTTTTTTCCCTGACTTTTCCAATTCAGTTTGAAATAGCTCAGAGAAAGTCCCCTTGCCAGATTGTTTAGTCTCACAAATCTCACCATTAGATACTTTTTCCTGAAGTTCAGCCTAACTGGCCCTTTGCTTACTTTCATTTCATAAAACTCTTTTGAGTGTCAATACCAGCTGCTCACTTTCCTTGGAAGTTTTCCACTTTTCAAATACAGGCATGACTTTAATTAGGCAAGGCATAAACTAGGACAGCAGAAAGACTGATTCTAAGGAATTAGGTCACAGTACCAATTTCCTAACAAGTGGAAAGTTCAATAATATAAACATACTTTTGTTGAAATATAGAGAAAAGTCATGAGACATAAGGGACTGGAGAGCTCAAAAGCTAAGTATAGAGCTCTGCTTTTAGTCATGGTCAGGCCATTCCCATAGGAACAACCCTATCATAGATAACAATTATAAACTCAGCACAAAATATTAGGAAAAAAAAAAAAAAGACCTGACTGCACAGGAAAGTGAATGAAAGCAGATTGATTCTGGGGAAAAAAAAGAATAACACTGAATAAGATTCCCATAACCTGAGTGAGGGCTCAAATATCAGCCATGCAGAGCAGCTAAAATTTAGCAGAAACCAGTTCTATTAAATTGAAGATCCTGAAGACAGGCTTTCAGAGAAATCACAGCACTTGAAAAGTGAGGAAGACAATTTTAGAAAGGAAGAAGCAGAGGAGAGAAGCTCTAAATCCTATGGATAAACTGTTCAAATCTCTTGCTAAACTCTAAATGAAGTATATTTGAGACAGACTCCAAGTAACAGTGCTAAGGTTAAAAGAACTGACCTGAAATTTCAGCTAACACCTACCACATAGGAAACAAAGTTTGAAGTTGAAATACAGCCAAGTTAACTGACTCAGAAAACAGACTCCTCCTTACCTCAAAAAACCAATACTCCTCAGATGAGTCTAAGAGAATCTCCTCTCTACATCATTCACAATGTTCAGTATTAAATCTAAAAGTTGTCAACAAGTAGAGAAATAACACACTGAAGAAAAGCCACAGTCAATGGAAACTGACATAAGTTTATCTAGATGTTTAAATTAGCAGACAAGGATTTTTAATTAGCTATTATCACTGTAATTAAGGATTAAAAATAATTTATGAGCCGAGCGTGGTGGTTCATGCCTGTAAGCCCAGCACTGTGGGAGGCCGAGGCAGGCGGATCATGAGGTCAGGAGATGGAGACCATCCTGGCTAACACGGTGAAACCACGTCTCTACTAAAAATACAAAAAATTAGCCAGGCGTGGTGGCGGGTGCCTGTAGTCCCAGCTACTCGGGAGGCTGAGGCAGGAGAATGGCATGAACTCGGGAGGCGGAGCTTGCAGTGAGCCAAGATTGCACCACTGCACTCCAGCCTGGGCAACAGAGTGAGACTCCGTCTCAAATAATAATAATAATTTATGATCATGACAAATGAAAATACAGAAAACCTCATGGGGGAAATAAAGGCTATAAACAAGAACCAAATGGAAATATTACAAATAAAAAACTATAAAATTTTTTAAATCACTAGATTGAGATGAAAATAGAGACAATGAACTTGAAGAAAGATCAATATAAATTATCCAATCTGCAGGACAAACAGCAGAAGGATTTTTAAAGTCTTAGAAGAAAAGGAAAAAAGAGAATGGAGGTAGAAAAGCATTTTAAAAATAATAGCCAAGAATTTCCCAATTTGATTGAAAGACATACATTCATAGATTCAAGAAGCTCAGCCAATCCGTGGGGGTGGGGGGGGGGGGGTGGGGAGACACAAAACAAACAAACAAACAAAAAAGAAAACATTTTTAAAAGTCCACTCCTTGGAAAAAGAAAATATGGTATATGCATGCATGGGTATTTAACAGTGGGGATATGTTCTGAGAAATAGTCATTAGGTGAAGTTTGTAAGGATATTGGGAAGACTCACCCTGACAAAACTTCAAATATCCTTACAAACTTGATCAAATTAGTTCAGTATATACTGACTACATGTGGATGTTCAATTTTACACACACACACACACACACACACACACACACACACACAGAGGAATATTACTCAGCCAGAAAAAAGAAGGAAATGATGTCTTTTGCAGGAACTTGGATGGAGCTGGAGGTCATTATTCTAAGTGAAGTAACTTGGGAATGGAAAATCAAATACTTCATGTTCTCACTTACAAGTGGGAGCTAAGCTATAGTTACACAAAGACATATAGAGTGATATAATGAACATCTGAGACTCAGAAGGGGGGAAGGCAGAGGGGAATGAGGGATAAAAAACTACATATAGGGTAGAATGTAGACTAATTAGGGAACTGGTACATTAAAATCTCAGACTTCACCAATATATAATTCATCCATATAACCAAAAACCACCTGTACCCTAAAACCTATTGAAATTAAAAAAAAGAAAGAAAACTCCTAGGCACATCATAGTCGAGCTGCTAAAAATCAAAGTTAAAGAGAAAATATTAAAAGCAGTCAAGGAAAAACAATTACATGCAAAAGAACAATAATTCAAATGAATGCTAACTTATCAGAAAAAAAAATGGAGACGAGAAAACAAAACAACACATTGAAATTTCTAAAAGAAAGAAAAAAACCTTCAATCTAGAATCTTTGTTCAGAGAAAAGGTCCTTCAAGATTGAAGGCAAAATTAAAATAAAACTAAGGGAATTTGTTGCCAGCCAGCCTGTACTACAGGAAATGCTAGAGGAATTTGTTCAGGATAAAATGAAATGATACCAGACAGAAATATGGATCAGCAGGAAGGAATAAGAAGCAAAAGAAATGGAAATACCAACTCCACAACAGAATGTTAGAATGTTGCTTTTAACAGTTATTTTCTTATAATTTTATTTTTTTAGTTTAGATTGTTACATAATTTTATATATTTATGGCATACCTGTGATATTTTGATACACATATAGTGATCAAAGTGGGTGAACTTGCAATATGAAGTAGTACATTCCTTTAAAATTGGTCAGGTAGCTGTTTTACTACACATTTTGGTATTTTCACTTCACTTATAAATGTAATAGACCTTACTATACCTAAGTATTTTCAGTATAAAGGTAGATTAAAATACAATAATAACAAAACTAATTCTCAAAATATCAAAACAGCACTGGAGCAGGACTTTCGTAAGTCATTTAATCTTAAAATAATACTAACAAATAATCACACTTATTCCATAGAGTTATGAGGCACCTGTAAAATAGTATGGAAAAGGTTATCATTTTTCATCAAAAAGTACTGTCACTGGTAACTATTTGAATCTCTACATTTAAGTGTTACCAAGTGTAAAGGAACACCTATATATTCAAAATTGTATCATAAGCATTGTATCTCAACTTGGCAAGCAACCCCATTAAGAAATATTTATGCTAATCAAGGCTTTGTTAAAATTATTTAAACAAATAATTTCTCCGATGGAAATTTTAGTAATGTTTAATGTTTAGCACTTAGCAAATAAAAATAACATCACAGCTGAGATCTCTTAATAATTTTAAAACAATGTACAAATGAACTGGTGACTCTGAGATGTCATCTACATAGTTGCCATCTACAGAACGGGTTCCTTTTGCTGATGTAATCAGAATTAATGACAATTAAAAAATAACAAACAAAAAAAACAGGAGACTCACTCTCACAAAACTTCAAATATCCTTACAAACTTAACCAAACTTAATTCCATGTGGATGTTCAATTTCTCTTGCTGTTACACTTTACTTTCACTTCCACTCCCTTGGCCAAGGCCCTCCCAATTTTATACCTGGAATATCAAGAATGTCACAGAACTTTAATAAATCAACTAAATTAACATTTAAGCACATTAACTAAGTACAAAAGTAAAAGACATGATATATAGTATTGTAATTAGTCCCATATGCTTTGAAGCCACACCACCTGTGTTCAATTCCAGCTTTGCCACTCACTAGCTATTTGGCTGTAGACAAATTAAACACCACTGAGAGTTAGTTTCCTCATCTAAACACCACTGAGAGTTAGTTTCCTCATCCATAACACTGAAATGGTAACAGGACCTACTGGATAATATCATCAGAGTTTCATGTACAGGGCAGAGTATCACGTACAGCACACAGTGGCCATCCTCATTATTAGTAACTTTCATTATTAAGCACAGAAAAGGAGGGAAATATGACAACAAGGCCCTGAACCTCAGGCAGCTAAAACGCCAGCCCACAATTCAATGTAAATGTAATAATGAAATATAGAAAATCTATAGGAATACCAAGAAAGGAGACAACAGTTTTGAATAAAAGAAGGTAACTGAAAACTGATAGGTAAGATATTTCCACACATGCAATAAGAACTTTCCAGAAGACAGTAGGTGTAAAAGATATAGAGAGAATAACAATGGCCACACAGAGGTCTATTTTCTAATCACATTTCCTAAGTTTATTCATTTCTGTCACAAACAGATTGAAACAGCATTTTTTTTTTTTTGTACAAGATTCAGAATATCTGAGACCTGACCTACCTGTTCCAGATTAATATTTTGGGAAGTCCAACACCAAAGAAGCACAATGAATACATTATATTGGAACACTTCAAAATAAGTAGTACTCAAATAAAGTGTTAATGTCCCTAATACATTTTCAACATCTTCAAATTTGAAGGACAAAGGATCAAAATCAAATAGAAAAAAAAGAGGAAAAAGACACAAACAAACAATACACAAAAAAAGACACAGAAATGACCTTTAGAGACATGAAAATGTGTTCAAATTCACTCGCAATTGGAAAAATGCAAACTAAAACAACACTGAGATATAATTTCTCACCTATCAGAGAAAAGAAAATTAAAAAGTAAAAACAATGGGGTTCTGTTGGTGAGGGTGTGAGGAATCAGGCAATTTCATATGTTACTAGTGGTAATTCAAACTGGTCCACCTTTTCTGGAGAGAAATTTGGCAACATCTAAGAAAACAACATGCATACTTACTTTTTGATCTACCAATCACACATGTAGGAATTCACCTGAAAAGATAAACCTTCAACAATACAAAAATACATAGGTTATTCATTGCAGTGTTGTTTACATAATGAAATACTGGAAACAACTCAAATACCCATACATTGGAGGGTTGTTGAAAGTTGACATATCCCTAAATGGCATATTATGTACTTGTACACACAAAAAAGGAGAAGTTCCTTATGAGCTGATATGGAGTGATTTCCAGAATACATTGCTATGTAAAAAAGCAAAATGCAAAAGAATTGTGTTTATAGCGTACTACCCTTCATTTAAGAAAGAATATAAGAAAATGTGCATACTCATTTGTACAAAAGAAATACGGGACACATAAACCAGAAACTAATGAGCTTGGCTACATAAAAGGGTTGGATGGAAATGTAATGTAAAATGTCTGGAAATGAGAAGAGTGTAGTAGGGTAAGAGTGCAGTGGCACATCTCTGAATATACCTTTTTAGGTAGTTCTGATTTTTTGTAATTGTTCACATACCCAAAAGTAAATAATTAATCAATACCAGCTAGAATTGAGATGAATCCAAAATGAAATTGAGAAACAGAAAGGGGTGGGAAAGAATAAAACTAAATTAAGAAATTTTAAATATATGCATAAAGACAAAAAGGACTATATCAAATACTGTACTATATTTTAAAAATTTGTTTTTCACAGGGATATTCATTAGCAATTCTTAAACTGTTTTACATGCTGTGATGATTAATATTACGTGTCAACTTGATTGAAGAATGCCTAGATAGCTGGCAAAATATTGTATCTCGGTGTGTCTTTAAGGGTGTTGCCAGAGACTGACATCTGAGTCAGTGGACTGGCAGAGGAAGACCTACCCTCAATGGGCTGCCAGTGCGGCTAGAACAAAGCAGGCGAGAAAGGTGGGATAAGCTGCTTGCTGAGTCTTCTGGCTTTCATCTTTCTCCTGTGCTGGATGCTTCCTGCCCTTGGACATCAGACTCCAGGTTCTTCGGCCCTTGAGCTCTTAGACTTACATCGGTGGTTTGCGGGGGATCTCTGGCCTTTGGCCACAGACTATCAGCTTCCCTGCTCTTGAGGCTTTTGGACTGAGTCTGAGCCACTACTGGCTTCCTGTATCCTCAGCTTGCAGACGCCCTGTCGTGGGACTTCACCTTGTGATCATATGAGTCAATTCTCCTTAACAAACTCCCTTTCATATATACATATATCCTATTAGTT